>NC_000017.11:1097171-1248686 GCF_000001405.40 Homo sapiens
GGACAGGCGCCACTCCCTCCTTCAGGGAACGGGTGTGTTGTGGCAGAAACCACGAAGCCCTAACCTGTCTCCTCTCCCAGCAATAGAGAAATTAACAGTGTCAACGAACACTCAGGCTGTGTTCTAAGAGCTTTATGTGCCGGACACAGTGGCTCACATCTGTAATCCCAGCACTTTGGGAGGCCGAGGCGGGCGGATCACTTGAGGTCAGGAGTTCAAGACCAGCCTGGCCAACATGGTGAAATCTCATCTCTACTAAAAATACAAAAATTAGCTGGGCGTGGTGGTGGGTGCCTGTAATCTCAGCTACTTGGGAAGCTGACACAGGAGAATGGCTTGAACCCAGGAGGCGGAGGTTATAATGAGCCGAGATTGTGCCACTGCACTCCAGCCTGGGCAACAGAGCAAGACTCCGTCTCAAAAAAAAAAAAAAAAAAAGAACTCTGTGTATAAATTCCTTTAATCCTCACAACGACCCCATGAAAAGCATACTATTTGTATACCCAGTTTGCAGATGGAAAAACTGAGGCACGATAGCTCATTCACCTGCTGAAAGCCTGGAGCCAGTACGGCCAGGCAGTCTAGATCCTCTGTCTGAACTCCTTTCAAATACACACCCTGTTAGTAATGACAACTATGTTCCTTTTTGGACAGCAATTCACGGTTTGGAAGACGTGTTTCACGAATGTCTGACGGGTTGTCTCTTTGCCTGTCCTCCTTTCTTCCACTAACAGTTGAGTGTCTTAAGTAACTCAACGCTGTATGAGGTCCCGAAAGCATCTCCCGATCTTCTCAACCCCATGGAAAGAGAGAGAAAGAATGGCATCCCTCTCATCTTCAGATCCAGAAATGGAGGCTCAAGGAATTTATGTAGGGCTTGCCCAAAGCCAGCAGTTTTCTTTTCTTTTTTTTTTTTTTTGTGATGGAGTCTCACTGTGTCGCCCAGGCTGGAGTGCAGTGGCGCAATCTCTGCTCACTGCAAGCTCCGCCTCCCAGGTTGACGCCATTCTCCTGCCTCAGCCTCCCGAGTGGCTGGGACTACAGGTGCTCGCCACCACGCCCGGCTAATTTTTTTTGTACTTTTTTAGTAGAGACGGGGTTTCACCGTGTTGGCCAAGGATGGTCTGGATCTCCTGACCTTGTGATCCGCCCACCTCAGCCTCCCAAAGTGCTGGGATTACAGGCTTGAGACACGGCGCCCGGCCAAAGCCAGCAGTTTTCAAACCCACAACAGGTGTAAGACACCATGGGCCCGGCAATTACATATATATACAGGCACACAGACAGACAACAAACCGAAAGTTCCCTCACTTATCTTTCCCGTGTATGATGCATGCTGACATTTTTTCATTGGTTTAAAAATGCTGGTTCAACCCACTGTACTGGTTTCACAACCCACTGTACTGATTTCACAACCCAAAGCACTGATGGGCTGAGAGGCACAGTTTGAGAAACAGTGCAATACGCCTGCTCTTAATGGCAGGGCCAAGTCTTGCCCTAGCTCTGGCCCCAGACCAGGACCCTCAGCTACCTGCCACACTGCCCCTCACTTGGAAAACAGCTCCGTACACACAGATAAACTCCTGGAGAGATGGGACGTACTCAGCCTGGCGTGTGGCAAAACAGCTGCACATTCAGAGTTTCACTCTTGTTGCCCCGGCTGGAGTGCAATGGTGCAAACTCGGCTCACTGCAACCTCCACCTCCCGGGTTCAAGCGATTCTCCTGCCTCAGCCTCCTGAGTAGCTGGGATTACAGGGGCCCGCCACCACGCCCAGCTAATTTTTTGTATTTTTAGTAGAGATGGGGCTTCACCATGTTGGCCAGGCTGGTCTCGAACTCCTGACCTCAGGTGATCCACCCACCTCGGCCTCCCAAAGTGCTGGGATTACAGGTGTCAGCCACTGCACCCAGCCTTTTTTTTTGAGGAATTTCACTTCCGTCGTCCAGTCTGGAGTACAGTGGCGCACTCTCAGCTCACTACGACCTTCGCCCCCAGATTCAAGCAATTCTCATGCCTCAGCCTCCTGAGTAACTGGGATTACAGGTATGCACCACCACGCCTGGCTTTTTTTTGCATTTCTAGCAGAGACAAGGTTTCACCACATTGGCCAGGCTGGTCTCGAACTCCTGTCCTCAAGTGATCTGCCCACCTGGGGCTCCCAAAGTGCTGGGATTACAGGCACTGAGCCACGGCGCCCGGCCTGCACCTGCACATTTACACAGTCATTCCTGGGTAACATAAATGTCAAGTCCCCTGGGACACTGACAGCATCTCAGGGTTGACGTGTGACAACACCTCACGTCATGGCAAGTACTTAAATGTGCATCTTAGAATTCTTGTTAAGAATGAGCTTCCACAGATCCACACTTCTGCGTCTCCCTTTTCTGACAATTACCTTATGTCTCAGGCTGCAAAATACCCAAAAGAAAGATTGACACGCCACGATCACTCTGCATAACATCCAGACACATCTAAGGAGCACTTTCTTCCAAGGCAAAACCACCTCACATCTGTGTAGTACTTTTATCTTCCGAAAACATTTTCATATTCCCCTCCCAATCAGACTCTCACAACGATGCCTCCATCTGGGAGGGGAACTGAGGCATGTTACCGAGGGCTGAGCTTGGCCTGATGCCTCAGAGCTGTGCCGCTTCTCAAAAGAACACAGACAGGCCGGGCGCAGTGGCTCATGCCTGTAATCCCAGCACTTTGGGAGGCCAAGGCGGGCAGATCACCTGAGGTCAGGAGTTGGAAACCAGCCTGGCCAACATGATAAAATCCTGTCTCTACTAAATACAAAAATTAGCCAGGACTGGTGGCGTGCACGTGCAATTCCAGCCACTCGGGAGGCTGAGGCAGGAGAATCACTTGAACCCGGGAGGCAGAGGTTGCAGTGAGCCGAGATCGCACCACTGCACTCCAGCCTGGGTGACAAGAGCAAAGCTCCGTCTTAAAAAAAAAAAAAAAAAAAAAAAGAACACAGCCTCCCACCTCATATTTCCTGACACGGGGCCTCAGGATGGCACTAACGGTTCCCTCACCCAGGGAGGTAGAAGGACTTGGACACAAGACGGCAGAGACTTCTTAACTGGATTGATTGGGAATGACTGCCCAGAGCACAGCGTGGAGAAGGCGCTCGGCCCCCGCCCAGGCAGGCAGAGCACCATGATGGGTTCACGATGCCCTATGCCAGGGTCGTGGGTGACAGGTGTGTTTGCCATCTCTAAGCCGGGTGTGCTTCTCCTGCCTTTTGAGAGCTGGAGCTGAGAGGCACAGGCCCTTTCTGGCAATGACCCGGGCTGCCCGATGCCCAGCCAGAAGCAGACCAGCTGCAGACTCTGTCCACAGGGAGGGACGGGTACGGTCCCCTTTCCTCTCCAACTCCAAAAGCAGCTTCAGAGCATGACATCACCCAACACGGGCGGGGGGACCGGAAGGCCCCAGAGCAGGGACTGTACTCACCAGCAACAGGGCTTCCAGCTGGTTAATGTAGATCTCTTCGCTGGCCAAGAACCCCGAGAGAACCAGCTTCCTCATCTCCAGGCCTTTCCCTGCTTCCACCTGCACAAACGCAAAGCACAGCCAACAGCTCATGAGCAAGGAGGCCAAAACCCTGCGTGGACGGTCTGCTTCCCTGCCCTTCCCCCCCGACCTTTATTTTTTTTTTGAGACGAAGTCTCGCTCTGTCACCTAGGCTGAAGTAAAGTGGCACAATCTCGGCTCACTGCAACCTCCGCCTCCCGGGTTCCAGTGATTCCCCTGCCTCAGCCTCCCGAGTAGCTGGGATTACAGGCACCTGCCACCATGCCCAGATAATTTTTGTATTTTTAGTAGAGATGGGGTTTCACCATGTTGGCCAGGCTGATATAGAACTCCTGACCTCAGGTGATCCACCCACCTCAGCCTCCCAAAGTGCTGGGATTACAGGTGTGAGCCACCATGCCCAGCCATTATGCCAGACTAATTTTTTTTGTATTTTTAGTAGAGATGGGGTTTCACCATGTTGGCCAGGCTGGTATAGAACTCCTGACCTCAGGTGATCCGTCCGCCTCAGCCTCCCAAAGTGCTGGGATTACAGGCGTGAGCCACCGCGCCCGGCCCCCCTTTCCCCTTTCCTTTTATTTTAAGCGACACTTTCATAGGGGATAAAAGTCAGATATTATTATAAAAAATATACAAAACATGCAGAAATATAAAAGGAAAAGACAATCACCCATATTCCTCCTGTAACATCTCGTTTTGCTTCCCTCAATCTATTTTCCACCTGGGTTCTCGAACCGACTTTTCCTCCCTCTCTTCCTCTCCTCCTGCCTGTCCCACACACCAGAGCTGGATTCAACTCCTAAGAGTGCCACCTTGCCCGATGCTTGCCAAGGACCGAGTATGAATACCGCAAAACGCGAGTACTTGGGGATTCCACTGGGCTATGTGTCCATTTATTTATTCATTCAATAAATATTTACTGAATGTCCACCAGGCCCTATAGATACCATGGGAAACAGACAGTGGCCCCTGTTCTCAAGTGGCTTAGACTCTAGTGGGAAAGACATTTATTTTTTCTTTTTTTTTTTTTTTTAGAGACGGAGTCTCGCTCTGTCGCCCAGGCTAGAGTGCAGTGGCGCGATCTCGGCTCACTGCAAGCTCCGCCTCCCGGGTTCACGCCATTCTCCTGCCTCAGCCTCCCGAGTAGCTGGGACTACAGGCTCCCGCCACCACGCCCAGCTAACTTTTTGTATTTTTAGTAGAGCCGGGATTTCACCGTGTTAGCCAGGATGGTCTCGATCTCCTGACCTCGTGATCCGCCCGCCTTGGCCTCCCAAAGTGCTGGGATTACAGGTGTGAGCCACCGCACCCTGCCGGAAAGACATTTAAAAAACAAGTAAAGATTCGGCCCTAGACTGGGACATGGGGCCCACCATATCCTTTATGAGCCACCTGCAGTGGCCCGGATGCCCGTCCCTACCCTTCCAGTCTTTCCCACAGCCAGGACATCGCTCAGTCTCCCCCACACGCAGGAGAACCAGCCTCCTCATCTTCAAAGGTCTCTAGCTTTCGGTTCGTTCTTTACCTGCTGCCTAAAATGCCATCTTTCCCTGAGGCATCGTGGCCACAGAAGGGGAGTGAGAGGGCCGGGGAGACAGGGTAGTGGTGAGGGACTGCTTGGAAGATGCTACACTGGTAGGTTTGAAGACAGAGGATGGGGCCACGAGCTAAGGAATGCAGAGAGCCTTTGGAAGCTGGAAATGGCAATAAAATGAACTCACTCCCCTAGAGCAGGGGCTTCCGATCTTTTGGCTCCCCTGAGCCACACTGGAAGAAGACGACTGTCTTGGGCCACACATAAAATACAATAACACTAACGACAGCAGATGAACTAAAAGAAAAATATATAATGTTTTAAGAGTTTACAAATTTGTGTCGGGCCACATTCAAAGCAGTCCTGGGCCGTATGGCCGCAGGCTGGAAAAGCTTGCCCTAGAGCTTCCAGAAGCAATGCAGCCCTGGAGATCCTTTTTATTTTAATTAATCTATTTATTTATGTATTTACTTATTGAGACAAAGTCTCCCTCTGTCGCCCAGGGCTGGAGTGCAATGGCATGATCTCAGCTCACTGCAACCTCTGCCTCCCAGGTTCAAGCGATTCTCCTGCCTCAGCCTCCCGAGTACCTGGGATTACAGGCGTCCACCATCACACCCACTAATTTTTGTATTTTTAGTAGAGATGGGGTTTCACCATGTTGGCCAGGCTCGTCTCAAACTCCTGACCTCAGGTGATGCGCCCGCCTCGGCCTCCCAAAGTGCTGGGATTACAGGTGTGAGCCATGGAGCCGGGCCGAGATCCTTTTTAGATTTCTGTATAAGAGAATAAATTTGTGTGGTTTTAAGCCCTTAAGTTTGTGGCGATTTGTTTCAGCAGCATTAGAAAAGCAAGACAGACCCCACGCTTCAGGCAAGGGCAATAGTTACTTATTGGCGGCTTCACAAATTCCAGGAACTGAGCTTAGCTATCTTTGTGGTTCAATTCACCGGAGTCTCAAAACCTGGCAGGTGTTATCATCTTCCTGAGGCACCGAGAGTCGGGACTGCCAGAGGCCTGCACAGCCTCCAGCACACGTAGCCCCGGGGGACAAGATCAGAGCCTGGAACAGCCCCCAGCTCCAGCCCCTCCAGGTCAGACCCTCAGGGGTCTTCCTGCTGCTTCCCAGCCTTGACAAATGGGAACTCATCCCCTGTGCTGGGGGCTAGCACTCCCTCCTGTTCCCTGCCAACCAAGGTTTTGCCTGAGGGTTTAGCAAATGCCACACCGTGAGCTGTAACTGTAGAGCTGGTTGGACTAGGATGGGGGGAAGAAAGGGATTTGCAGCCCCAGCCACAAACAAGCTTCATCCCCCCTGGCACGAGCATAGACCCTGGAAGCCCTGTAATCGCCCATTTCTGCAAGATCCTCCCCTCAAGACTTCCATTCATAGTCCACTCTTGAAAGGCTGGTTCTGATGGGAAGACAACTCAGGAAGACCCTCCCTCAAGAGGCAACAGTCAGCCCCAAGAGTCCTGCTCTGGGCCCCGTTCACGCTGCAGTTTTGGCTGAGATTGGAGCAAAGGCGTTGGAGAGCGTACGGATGGGAAATTAGCCTCGGTGCACTTGGCTAACAGGAGACCCGTTGCTCAGTCACCACCAAAGGAAGGCCTGTTCCATCTCCCATCTTTTCCAGCTTTCCTCAGACTCCACAATTCCCAGTTTAGAGCCATGAGGAAATTCACATTGTTTCTTCAGTCTTTGCAGGGCGTCTCTTGTCTCATCAAAAACCAGGCTCACCACTCACTCACCCATTCCCACCGGGAGCCAGGCACTGGGAATACGAAGGTGAAGGAGAGGTGCCCACGTGCCTAGAATGCTCCGGAGCGAGTTCTCTAAAGAGTTCCAGGTCCCACAGCCTCTGCCACGCTGCCTACCTGTCTCCAGCACCGGGAAGCTGCCTGTCCTCACTTCCTCCCAGCCAGAACTTGTGAAATGCAGTCCTGGTGGGTTCGTTTATCCTCAGCATCCTGCACAATCTGCTAGGCTGACAGTGTGGCAGCTTGAAGCCGCCAAACCAAAGACGTCAGGTCACTCTGGTAGGAACAATGTCTAGAGATAAGGCGTGGCCAGCTCAGGCCTGGTCCTCCACAGAGTTGAGAGGCTAAATAAAGCCTCCAAACATCTGGTTCCAGGCCAAGCAAAGACACAATCTCTCCAGTAGCACTGGCCTCCAAGACAACAAGCAGGGCTGGCTCTCTGGCTGCGACTCAAGGCTATAGGGCATGCAGCGAGGGTCTGAGGCTTCACAGACGGTAGAAGTCAGTTCACGGGCCACAGCTGGCTGCCAGGAGTACCCAGCAGGATCTGCTCAGAGTAGATGCCACTGGGCCTGGGGGTGGGGGTGGCCGTGCCTGGGGCTTATACCCACACCAAGCATCAACCTCAGGACAACTGGCCCATCTCAGTCTCAGGACAGCTGAGGCAGTGTAGAGGCATCGAGAGACCCTCTCCTCTCCCAGCGCTAGGCGCTGAGGAAGTCTCTTTCAGCTGCTTCCTTGGCAGAATTTAGAACAGAGAAGACGGGTCAACTGCTGGGGGACAAAGACCAAATTCCAGTGGCCCCTCTCTCCTGAAGGGTGGATCCCCGTATTCTGGGCTCCCTATTGCTGTCTGAGGTCTTAGGCAGGCACCATAGGGCACAGGCAATGTTTTGAAACTTTGGTTGTTCATATCCCACCCTTAAAATTTTGCCATACTCACATACCACCACCTGCACTATTCTTTACTCAATATTGTTCTTTACAGTAACTTTTTTTTTTTTTTTTTTTTTTTGAGACAGAGTCTCACTGTGTCACCCAGGCTGGAGTGCAGTGGCAGGATCTTGGCTCACTGCAACCTCCATCTCCCGGGTTCAAGTGATTCTCCTGCTTCAGCCTCCTGAGTAGTTGGGATTACAGGTGCACGCCACCACGCCCAGATACTTTTTGTGTTTTTAGTAGAGACAGGGTTTCACCATGTTGGCCAGGCTGGTCTTGAACTCCTGACCTCATGATCCACCGCGCCCAGTCTCCCAAAGTGCTGGGATTACAGGCATGAGCCACTGCGCCCAAGAACTGACTTGTAAAAAGCAGTCTTACCCTACACGTATTTGAAATCGTAAGAAAAATGTACAGGTCATATTTTTTCTAATATATATTAAAATATATACTTAACCATTAAAATGCAAAATATAGATCGAGGTGCCACCGATCATTTCTCAAATCACCACGTGGGGCCCGCACTTAGAAAAACATCCAAATGGGGGATACAGGCATGATGTGCAGGCACAAGAGACCTGGGCAGGTGAAACAGAAATAGAGATGTTTCAGATGATCCATTAAAAACTGGCACAGAATTGGGCTGGGCTCAGTGGCTCACTCCTGTAATCCCAGCACTTTGGGAGGCCAAGAGGGGCAGATTGCTTGAGCCCAGGAGTTACAGACTAGCATGGGCAACATGGTGAAACCCTGTCTCTACAAAAATATAAAAATTAGCCCAACGTGGTGGCATGTGCCTGTAGTGAGGGGGAGGCTGAGGTGGGAGGACTGATTGAGTCTGGGAGGTGGAGGCCACAGAGAGCCATGATTGTGCCATCGCACTCCAGCCTGGGTGACAGAGTGAGACTCTGTCTCAAAAGAAAAAAAAAAATGGCACAGAATGATACCTAAAGGGTTAATCTGCATTACAAAAGGGTTTTTATTCCTGACAAATAAGTTCCTTAAAATAGCACCTTCTACAACGCCCCCGTCACAACCCTACCTATCTTTAAATAGAATGGCATGAAACATTTTTGGCAAGTGTAAGCCATTTTACAAATGCAACATGACGCTGCTATCAGTATTTTATTTGCATTACCAGTTTTACAGATCAATAACTCTTCAAAGGTAAGTCTGGGCTGAGATATGCAGCAAACTCCAGCTATAGCTTTGGAGAAAACTGCAGCCAACTTTACCTCTGCCCCCCAGGAAGATGAAGCGTCTTGGAAATGACACTGGAAACAGGATTGATTTATGGGCCTGGCACTTGGGCACATGCTCACAACGCAACTGCTGCTTAAGGTAAGTACCCCTAAAGTAAAGTAATAGCAAAGAGAATTGCCTTGGATTCCTACTAGCTGCCAGGGAAGGGTGTGCCAAGAACCTCTGCAGCCCAGGACAGGAGTGTATCATCCAGAAATGACCCTTGGCCTGCACACACACACACATGCACGCATCCAGGCCATCCCCAACTCCACTAGAAGTGGTCCCTTCTCCCCTGAATTTGGTGCCCTTTTATCAGTACTCTTCTCACAGTCTTTTTTTTTTTTTTTTTTTTGAGACTGAGTCTCACCCTGTCGCCCAGGCTGGAATGCAGTGGCATGATCTTGGCTCGCTGCAACCTCTGCCTCCCAGGTTCAAGCGATTCTCCTGCCTCAGCCTCCTGAGTAGCTGGGATTACAGACGCCCACCACTACGCCCGGCTAATTTTTGTATTTTTAGTAGAGATGTGGTTTCACTATATTGGTCAGGCTGATCTCGAACTCCTGACCTCAGGTGATCCGCCCACCTCAGCCTCCCAAAGTGCTGGGAATACAGGCGTGTGCCACCGCATCTGGCCCACCCTGCCTACTTCCGTACTCTATTCCTACTCCCTGTACCTGCCCCTTGCTCTGAACGCCTTGTGAGGGAAGATCACGCCTTGTTCCTCTTGTCATCTCTACAGTGCCAGGCAGGGTGCTCTGAAGAGCACCTAACCTGAGAGTGTTTGTTGAATGAATCCAGGAGCTTTCTTCCCACCGCTCTGTGGCCACCTGCTTGTCTTCTCCCTCTGAGGCCAATGCCGGTAGAGGAGGGAGGAATTCTAGAGGTGTTCAGGATGGAGCAGGGAGCCTGGAACTCCCCGGCATTCGAGAAAGGTCTCCTTCCCCCATGCTGGCAGCAAAGTAGAGGGGAAGACACCATCCCGGTGCTCACGGGGACCCAGGAGGAGCAGCGTTTTCAGGTGTGACACGTGCTCAGGCTCTCTTGGCATCCGTGGGCCACCGCCGTACACAGCAGGACACCTCTGAGATGGAGCGAGGCTGGGAACCTGGTGCACCCTTCGTGGGCCCCAGCGGGCCTCACACATTGTGCAGACTCTCACAGGCACCAGCCCCACACCAAGCACTGTGCAGTGTTCAGCAATGAATATGACATGGTCCTGGTCCTCCAGGAGAATGGGATATAATTGCGGAGGCAAATGTCTAGAGTTCTGAGCATCTGAGCAGAATGAAATACGGGCTTAGCTGAGGCATACGCCGGGGTCCAGCAGAAGGGGAGGTCCAGGAGGCAGCCTCTGAGTGGGCCCACATCTGTGCTGGGGGCTTCCCAGAGGAGGCCCATGAGGGCCACACACCTCCCATCCCAGCATTGCTACTCCCAGCCTGACTCCTGGCTCAGGAGCAGACTTTCCCACCCTGTTCCTAGTGGGGAGGCTGGTCAGACCCTAAGTGCAGAGGCCTCCCTGAGCCCACGGGGAGACGTGACTTACCCCCACGGCCCTACGCCAGCACCAGATCAGAGAAGACAGGGTGGGGTGCCAGCCACTGCCAGCCTCCCTACAGCTCCACTCCCCACCCAGGCCTGCAGCCACCGCTCCACCCATACTCACACATCAGCCATCTCCCGTGGTTCTGCATCTATTTTTACCTCCATTGGCTCCTCCTCAGAGCCACACTGTAGAGTGGGTGGGGCAGGACTGTGATCCCCATCTTCTGTGAGGGGCAGGGAGGCCCAGAGAGGTTCAGGGACAGCCTCCCGTCCCCAGCAATGCTGGCTGCACATGCCTTCTAGGCCCCGCCGATGGGCACTCGGTTAGGCAGCCTCGCCTAGCAGTCTGCAAACTCCCCGAAACGCATCCTCACTGGGCCTCCCTTCTCGACACAGAACCAGAGAGCAGCTGAGCAAAAGGCTGAGGTGGAAGCTCTGAGAGGTGTGTCCAGGAGAGAAAAAGGAAGACCGCTGTGGTGTGCCGGGCCAGACTCACAGAGCCGGCGTGGTTCCGGGGCCGCCCCGCTCCTCAAGGGATTCTGGCCACCACTGCCCTCCAGTTCCACCGGGAGCCAACCTCTCCTACAGGACGGGTCACTGCTGCAGAGAACGCCGTCAGCCCCAGAGCGGGTGGGCCAGGGCCCAGCAGATGCTCCCTGCCTGTCCCGCCTCGGGAAGGGCACCTGCCCACCTGGCTGCAGCCTCCAAGCCAGCTGTTCCCTCCCCCCTTCAGCTGACCCAGTGCTTTTCCTTCAAGGAAGCTCAGTGACCTCTGGCTCTTGCCCTTTGCAAACACCCTCTTGCCTCAGCTCGGAGACACCAAGTCCCTGTCTCCTGGCTGGGAAGAGGGTGGCCCCTCTCTTGCGGTTGCCGTGGAAACGGGGGATTCCTGCCCACCCGCTCCAGGGAGGCGGCGAGGCTCGGGCTGACAGGCGCGCCAGGTGACTCCTGGCACAGCCGCCGGAGCCCTGAGCTGGGCTGGCCTGGAGGGGGCGGCCACCACTGCCCCGAGGACACCGGTCGGGGAGGCAGGCCCGCCCCTCTCCCCCGGGAACAGCTGCCGGGGCCGGGACCCTCCGCCGAGGGCTTCCACCCGGCCGCGCGCTCTGCGCCCGCATCAGCCATTTCTCCCGCGCACCTTCGGCAGCGCCGGCCCGGCCCCCCCCAGCGCCCAGGGCGTGTCACGCTCCCACCTTCACAGCCACCAGGAAGGGGGACCCTGAGCCGGGGCTGGTCGGGGTTCCCAGCTCGCACTCCTCCAGGAGAAACACATCTTCGTCCTCCAGAACCTTGTCCAGCAAGCCTATCGCCTCCTCTTCCTCCTCCATGGCAGCCGGAGCCCGCGGAGGGCAGACAGGAAGCGGGGTCCACGCAGCGGCGGCGGGAGGAGGGAGGAGGGAGGAGGCGGGCGGGAGGGGGGGCAGGTCTACACCCGCGCGCCCGGCCTGGGGCTCCCGACCCGGGACTGCATCCCGGACCTAGTCCAGCCCGCTCCGCCGCCGCCGCCGCCGCCTCGCGCGTCCTCGCCCGGCGAAAGGGGGAGCAAGGCCCGGGCAGCCCCTGACGCCGTGCCCGGCCCGTGGCGGAGGCGAACCCGCCGCACAGCAGCCCAGCGCCCTCCTCCGTGTCCCGCCCGGCCCCGCAGGGCCCGCCCTTCCCGGGCTCCGGGGCTCGGGCTCGCGCTCGCTCCGAACACACAGGAAACGCGCGTCGCGAGGTGGAGCCGCCCGTCCTCTGGGGTTGCGGGGCCGCGGCTGGCGGAGGCTTCTGCGGCGGAGGAGGAGCGAGGAGGCCGCGGCCGGGCCGGGGTGGGGTGGAGCGGGGAGGCCGCTTCCCAGACGCATCTTCATTCCCCGCGCGCGGCCGAGCCAGGAGCCCGGCGAGCAGGGGCGACCCCCAGAGCCACCCCGGAGTCCCCATGCGCCGGAGCCCCCTTCCGGAGGGGAGGCCCCGGCCCGCCCAGAAGCCACAGCCGCGTCCCGCCGCCGCTGGAGGAGTCAGGCTTTGCAACAGACAGGCCTGACCTGCCCCCAGGCAGGAGCGCGGCGCCACCACTGTCCTGCACAGGAGCGGTGGGCGTCCCACTCACAGGGACCAGGATCCCCCTCCTCCAAGCAGCCCCCCTCCTCCGAGCAGTCCCCCCACTCACGGACGCTACTGACACCAGCACCCCCACCTCCTCTGAGCAGCCCCCCCACTCACAGACCAGCCCCCCTACTCACAGGCGCTGCAGAGACCAGGACCCCCACCTCCTCTGAGCAGCCTCCCACCTACTCACAGGCACTGCTGAGACCAGCACCCCCACCTCCTCCAAGCAGCCCCCCCAGCCACCCCACCGCAGGGAGCCATCCTGCAAGGGGAGTGCACACAGAACCCAGGACAGGCACCATCTCCGGCCCTGCCCACTCCCAGCCAGCTTCCCCTGGCTTCTCCAATGGTTGCAGAACCCCCAACTGTGCAGGGAGTGAGGCCACATTCTGGTCCCCCTGGCCCTAGTTCCCAGATGCACATACACCTCCTTCCATGGGAGGAGGAGTCCAGAGGAGGCCCTGGGAAAAGCTCTTTTACAACCCAACGATGGAGCAAAGGTTGCAAACGGCACCCATGAGGGTGCGGGTGAGGCCTGCGGGTGAGGCCAGCCGGTGAAGCGAGCCAGGTAGGGCAGGGTGAAACCACCACTCACTCCAGCCGATGGCTGCTGGAGGAAACGCAAGCTCATGGCTGCCTGATCTCTGTTCAAAATAAGCTAAAATCTGGCTTATTAACAGGAATGCTCCTGATTTTAAAACGATGGCAAATAATTAACATTTTAAAACAACATGGTGCCGTCTAAATGAACCACACCTGTGGCCCGAGTTCAGGCCACAGCCCCCCACTCCCCCCAGAATTCTTCAGAAGCTCTGGGCTCTAGGTGGGGCTCATGCAATTCCATTGGCAGCAGAGAAGCTGCCCTCCCTGGAGAGAGGCTCCATCCTGTTGCAGAGCTGAAATACAGAGCAGGGGATTGCGGGGTGAGCCCTTGAGGGGCCCCAGGGCTAACAGCCTTTGATCAGGGAACTGTGCCACCAGGGTTCAACAGAGGCACACCCCCACCCCACCCATCTCCTTCCAGCCCCTGGTTTTCCCCTGTCCCTGCCTGGGTGGGTTATAAATAGCCAGGGCGCATCTGAAGGGCCCTTTCAGCCACAATTCCTCATTTGGTGCGGGCGGGTGAGGCTGTGGCGAGGGCTTGGGAACGACCAGGCCTGGCATTCCCCAGGGCACAAGTATGCCAGCTCAGGGCCTGGTACCACGGGTTCTTCTGTCTCCCGCCCGGCGGGCTCCAAGTGCATGGCATGGGCTGCCCACATGAGTCAGACCTGCAGGTGACACGAAGAAGGGCCTAAAACCCCACAGGCCCCTGCTGTGTTCCTTCCTCCACTCAAGAGGACATGAGGTGCCCTTGGAAGTCTGCCAGGATATCCTCGTCCCCGTTCCCCACACCTCTACACGGCATGGTGAGACTGACGCCCACTTCTTCCCAAAATCCCTGAACCCCACACAAGTGACTCCCTGAGTATCCAGGGCCTCTCTACTCCACCCTGTCCCCGGTGGCTGGAAATTCCAGTGAGTAATGAGAGTGCCCCTCCATCAGACACAGACTCCACTCACAGGCCCTCGGTGCCCCCCTGGAGGGGAAGTGACTCACCAGTCCCCACAGCTTCCCTCCCCTTCCCTGACAAATGCCCTGAGCCAGCCCTGGACCTGAGCTCCACACTCCATCTGCCTCGGCCTGGCTCCTAATGTTCTCCATAGAAGCAGCCTGCTTCAAAGGCCCCCCCAAACGGTTTATTCCAAAGCCAGAGGCCTCCCTCTCCGACTCTTTGGCCTCTGCAGTCTAGAGTTTCTCCAAGCCCTCAGCTGCCCTGTTGATGCAGGCACTGCCCCGACCACTCTCTGGTGTAGGCTGGCCCTTCATTCTCCCGCCTCCTGTAAATGTGGAGTCACTTGCTTGGGCCCAGCCTCAGCCCTCTGCTCCCTTCCCCCAGAGAAGCAGCCCTTCTCCCTTCCAGGCCAGTGGTGGCCCGCTGCCAGCTGCAGCCCTGGTGTCTTGCTGGGCTCTAGGTCTAGCACCTGCCCCGGCCACTGGGTCTCCTCACTTGGAAGCCCAGCCACGGCCCTTCCACTCCACACATCTGGACCAAAGGACCCTTCCTCCTTCTGAAACAGCTTCCCCTTCCGGGTTTCCACTTCTGTTAGTGCGGCCGCCATCTTACGAGTCTTCCTTCCCTCAACCCCCACATCCCTTTTACCAAGTCCTTCGGTTCTTCTTTTCCTTTGCCAAAGCCACCACCCCACCAAGCTTTAGAGCCTCTTACACCCACACGACCACACGTACTTCCCCACTTTGGCTCCTGATCTTGTCTGTCCATCTGTCTGTTCATTCATTCATTCATACCCAGAAAAGGCCTGGCATGGCACACATACGAGGCTGGGAGACGGGGCCCTTGCCGTTCTCAGGCTCTCGATCCGTCTGGGGTGAGGACGTGTGAACACACGAGGCAGTGTTCTCGTTTACCAGCCACCCTGGGGATGGAGGACAGTGGCACTAACGCTGCCTGAGAGTGAAAGCTTCACAGGACAGTGGCTTCTGAGTAGCATCTGGAAATAGGGAAGGGTTTCCAGGCAAAGAAGAGAAGGCCCGAAAGGAAAGGGTTAAGCAGCTTCAGCAACCCGGTTGCAGTGGCGCACCTGAAATCTCAGGTACTCAGGAGGCTGAGGTGGGAGGATCGTTTGAGCTCAAGAGTTGGAGGCTGCAATGAGCTATGATCGCACCACTGCACTCCAGCCTGGGCAACAGAGCCAGACTCTGTCTTGAGGGAGGGAGGGAGGGAGGAAGGAAGGAAGGAAGAGAGGAAGGAAGGCAGGTTAAGAAGCGCTGCTTGCTAGAGGACAGAAGATGAACTTGGAGAAGTGGGCTGAACAGCATCATGGAGGGTGAGGGGCATAAGCACACACCACACCTAGCTACTGTTTGAAATCTTTCGCAGCCACTGAGATTTCTGACACCATCAAGTCTAAATCTCAGTCTCCAATGGTTGACTCCCCACAGTCTTCCCCCACACCCACCCTCCATTCCCTCCTTCCCTGACCCAATCAGCAAGCATTTGTTAACGCCTGACCCAATCAGCAAGCATTTGTTAACGCCTGACCCAATCAGCAAGCATTTGTTAACCACCTGACCCAATCAGCAAGCATTTGTTAACGCCTGACCCAATCAGCAAGCAGTTGTTAACCGCCTGACCCAATCAGCAAGCATTTGTTAGCCGCCTGCTGTGCACCAGGCAGTGTGCTAGCATCGGAATGCAGCCATGGACAGGGAACCCCGTGCCTACCCTCGCGGAGCTGACAGTCTCAGGGACAGATTGACCTGGTGACTGACTCCCAAGGCAGTGTCAAGGGAGGGGCAAGGCCGTACTGGGGAGGGGAGCAGTGTCAGAACTCTGCAGCTGAGGTGCCACTTTTCTGGAAGGGATAACATGGAAACACCTATTGCGATTTTTTTTTTTTTTTTTTTTTTTTTTGAGACGGAGTCTCGCTCTGTCACCCAGGCTGGAGTGCAGTGGCATGATCTCAGCTCACTGCAACCTCCGCCTCCTCGGTTCAACCCATTCTTTCGCCTCAGCCTCCCAAGTAGCTGGGATTACAGGAACCCGCCACCAGGCCCGGCTAATTTTTGTATTTTTAGTAGAGATGGGGTTTCATCATGTTGGCCAGGCTGGTCTCGAACCCCTGACCTCAGGTGATCCACCCGCCTCGGCCTCCCAAAGGGCTGGGATTACAGGTGTGAGACACGGCACCTGGCCCACTGCTTATTTTTAGATTCGACTTTAAACGTCACCTCCTCCAGGGAGCCTCCCGTGACTCCCCGTTGGCTGCGTCAGATGTGCCCGCTGGTGCCCTCAGAGCCCACTCTACGTTCCCAATCGTGGCACTTCTATTTTAACTTCTTTATTTTCCTGTTACATCACTAACAATTCTAACTCTGTAGACACACATAATAAAGAAAGAGAAAGTCTCCTCTGGTTCCCTCTGACAGAGGGAGCCTCTAAGAGTTAGTTATACATTTTTCCTTATTTGTGTCCACGAATAAACTATACATATAGGCCGGGTGCAGTGGCTTACGCCTGAAATCCCAACAGTTCGGGAGGCCGAGGCAGGAGGATCACTCAAGCCCAGGAGTTTGAGACCAGCTGGGCAACATGGCAAGACCTCATCTCTATAAAAATTTTAAAAAATAATTAGCTGAGTGTGGTGGCATGCTCTTGTGGTCCCGGCTTCTTGGGAGGCTGAGGCAGGAGGATTGCTTGGGTCAGGATATTGAGGCTGCAATGAACTGTGTTTGTGCTACTGTGTTCCAGACTGGGCCACAGAGAAAGACCCTGTCTCAAAAAAAAAAAAAAAATTAGGCTGGGCGCAGTGGCTCACGCCTTTAATCCCGCACTTTGGGAGGCCGAGGCAGGTAGATCACTTGAGTTCAGGAGTTCGTGACCAGCCTGGTCTACGTGGTAAAACCCTGTCTCTACTAAAAATACAAAAATTAACCAGGAGGGGTGGCACAGGCCTGTAATCCCAGCTACTCTGGAGGATGAGGCACAAGAATTCCTTGAATCCGGGAGGCAGTGGTTGCAGTGAGCTGAGATCACACCACTGCACTCTAGTCTGGGCGACAGAGCAAGACTCTGTCTCAAAAAAAAAAAAAAAAATTATGGCCGGGCGCAGTGGCTCACACCTGTAATCCCAGCACTTTGGGAGGCTGAGGCAGGCAGATCACCTGAGGTCAGGAGTTTGAGACCATCCTGGCTAACACGGTGAAACCCCGTCTCTACTAAAAATACAAAAATTAGCTAGGCGTGGTGGTGGACGCCTGTAGTCCCAGCTACTCAGGAGGCTGAGGCAGGAGAATCGCTTGAACCCAGGAGGCGGAGGTTGCAGTGAGCCGAGATCGCGCCACTGCACTCCAGCCTGGGTGACAGAGAGAGACTCCGTCTCAAAAAAAAAAAGCAGTGGTTAGAGATGCTGGTGGGGCTGGGGAACAGACAGGAGAGAGACTATGTGAGGCACAATGACATGAGTTTAGTCTGGCTGGTTCATGCATTCATTCAGCTAATATTTACTGAGCACCTACTGTGTGCCAGGCACAGTTCTCGGCACCAGAGACTGCAATGAGCAAGTTTTGTTACAAAACCGACAAAATCTCTCTCTCGTGAGAGTTCACAATTCTAGCACGGAGTTGGTCCTGAGGCCACAGAGGTAGGCAGGGGGTCCAGGGGTCAGGTCACACAAGGCCTTGACAGCTGTGCAAAGGGAAGGGGGGCCCCATAGGCGAAGGGAAGGTGCTGGAGGATTTCAGGACAGGTGTGACAGGACATTCATCCTGCATCCCTCCTGCTGACATCAGATGACTCTTTCTAAAACACTGCTCACTCTATGCCCAGCAGGAAGCCACCAAGCCAGCCCAAACAAGAGCCGTGGGGCCCCAGCTGATGACTCACCCATCTCACTGTTGACAGTAACCTCTCAAAGGGCCTGGCACGTTCTCACTTCCAGGCCTTTAACAACGGCAGGTCCTCGGCTTGAAGCACTTTCTCCCGCCTCTTGGCTTCTCCCTGGCTCTCCCAGCTTTCCTGGCAGAAACTCAAGCCCCACCTCCAGACTGTATGAAGCTCAGTAGCTCTTCAGCCAATGGGAACTGACACCAAAGGGCAAGTGCCAGGGCAGTTGCAGCCACTAACTGCAGCCACAGATGGGACTGGATTCGTCACCTTCCAGATCACCTTGCTCCTCCCTCTGCCTCCTCTCTGTTCTAGTACAGGTCACTCCAAAATCATATACATAGTTCAACTACATAAAGCTAATGTTGGCCAGATGCAGTGGCTCACGCCTGTAATCCCAGCACTTTGGGAGGCCGAGGCGGGCAGATCACCTGAGGTCAGGAGATCAAGACCAGCCTGGCCAACGTGGTGAAACCCCGTCTCTACTAAAAATACAAAAAATTAGCCAGGCGTACTGGCGGGTGCCTGTAATCCCCGCTACTAGGGAGGCTGAGGCAGAAGAATCACTTGAACCCCGGGAGGCGGAAGCTGCAGTGAGCCGAGATCACACCACTGCACTCCAGCCTGGGTGACAGAAGGAGACTCTGTCTCAAAAAAATAAAATACATAGGCTGGGCGAGGTGGCTCACGCCTGTAATCCCAGCACTTTGGGAGGCCGAGGCGGGCGGATCACCTGAGGTTGGGAGTTCAAGACCAGCCTGGCCAACATGATGAAACCCCATCTCTACTAAAAATACAAAATTAGCCGGATGTGGTGGCCTGTAATCCCAGCTACTTGGGAGGCTGAGGCAGGAGAATCACTTGAACCCAGGAGGCGGAGGCTGCAATGAGCCGAGATTGCGCCACTGGACTCCAGCCTGGGTGACAGAGGGAGACGCCATCTCAAATAAATAAATTACATAAAATAAAATAAAGCTAATGTTGAGGAGAAGCCGGTACACAACACTGTTTATACAGTGAAACAAATAAACTAAAACAGAAAGAAAACTCCCCTGCACTCTGGATGTGAGCCCCAGCTCTGCCTCTTGCCAACTGTGTGACCTGGGCATGTCATCTAGTCTCCCTGTGCCTCCGTTTCCTCATCTATAGAATGGGGGTAATTACGGCATCAACTCTAGGGCTGCTAGCTAGCCAGAAGACGGAGATCCCAGACAGGGCGTGAGAGCTGTGGGATGAGCCAGGCCAGCCAGGTGTGGTTCATCAGGGAAGATTAACAGTATGCAGAGGTGAGCAAGATCCCAGCCAGGTGTGAATGTAGGAGGGCCAGAGAGGACGGGAGCCAGCGATGACGGGACCCAGGGTCACAACCAAGGCACTAGTCTACCTACTTCCGACTTACCTCCTTCCCAACTGGGACAAGCCCAGGAGCCACCCTGAGCCTCAGTGTCTTCATCTACTAAACGGGGGCAGCCCCATGGCTGGAGGACTTGGGTGGCAGGGCAGCCCCTGGGCTCCTAGCACAGCACCTGGCACACGGGAGGGTCCAGCTCGTGTCCTTCTCTTTGCAGCAGGGACCCAAGATCCAGGAAGGGGAGAAATGCAGGGGCCGGCTGCTGGGGGGCGGAGGCTGAAACTCGAGGAGTCCCTGAACCACACAACCCAGGTCCGGAGCAGTCAGGAGGGAGTGGAGCAGGCACCATCTCAGGAGTTCCTGGCTGCCATGCCGCCTCTTCACGCACCTACCAGCAACCTCGAATCCCAAGCCCTAAGCCTTCTGAAGAGACCAAGAAAGGGAAGAAGAGGCTGCAGTTCCTCCCAGCGTTATCCCTGAGCCTGAGTTCCTCCCAGCGTTATCCCTGAGCCTGAGTTCCTCCCAGCGTTATCCCTGAGCCTGAGTTCCTCCCAGCGTTATCCCTGAGCCTGAGTTCCTCCCAGCGTTATCCCTGAGCCTGAGTTCCTCCCAGCGTTATCCCTGAGCCTGAGTTCCTCCCCAGCGTTATCCCTGAGCCTGAGTTCCTCCCAGCGTTATCCCTGAGCCTGAGTCCTCCCCAGCGTTATCCCTGAGCCTGAGTTCCTCCCAGCGTTATCCCTGAGCCTGAGTTCCTCCCAGCGTTATCCCTGAGCCTGAGTTCCTCCCAGCGTTATCCCTGAGCCTGAGTTCCTCCCAGCGTTATCCCTGAGCCTGAGTTCCTCCCAGCGTTATCCCTGAGCCTGAGTCCTCCCCAGCGTTATCCCTGAGCCGGAGTTCCTCCCAGCATTATCCCTGAACCCGAGTTCCTCCCAGCGTTATCCCTGAGCCCGAGTTCCTCCCAGCATTATCCCTGAGCCCGAGTTCCTCCCAGCGTTATCCCTGAGCCCGAGTTCCTCCCAGCGTTATCCCTGAGCCCGAGTTCCTCCCAGCGTTATCCCTGAGCCCGAGTTCCTCCCCAGCGTTATCCCTGAGCCTGAGTTCTCCCCAGCGTTAACCCTGAGCCTGAGTTCCTCCCAGCGTTATCCCTGAGCCTGAGTTCTCCCCAGCGTTATCCCTGAGCCTGAGTCCTCCCAGCGTTATCCCTGAGCCTGAGTCCCTCCCAGCGTTATTGCCTGAGCCTGAGTCCCTCCCAGCGTTAACCCTGAGCCTGAGTTCCTCCCAGCGTTATCCCTGAGCCTGAGTTCCTCCCAGCGTTATCCCTGAGCCTGAGTTCTCCCCAGCGTTATCCCTGAGCCTGAGTTCCTCCCAGCGTTATCCCTGAGCCTGAGTTCTCCCCAGCGTTATCGCTGAGCCTGAGTTCCTCCCAGCGTTATCCCTGAGCCTGAGTCCTTCCCAGCGTTATCCCTGAGCCTGAGTCCTCCCCAGCGTTATCCCTGAGCCTGAGTTCCCCCCAGCGTTATCCCTGAGCCTGAGTTCCTCCCAGCGTTATCCCTGAGCCTGAGTTCCTCCCCAGCGTTATCCCTGAGCCTGAGTTCTCCCCAGCGTTAACCCTGAGCCTGAGTTCCTCCCAGCGTTATCCCTGAGCCTGAGTCCTCCCCAGCGTTATCCCTGAGCCTGAGTTCTCCCCAGCGTTATCCCTGAGCCTGAGTCCTCCCAGCATTATCCCTGAGCCTGAGTTCCTCCCAGCGTTATCCCTGAGCCTGAGTTCCTCCCAGCGTTATCCCTGAGCCTGAGTCCTCCCAGCGTTAACCCTGAGCCTGAGTTCCTCCCAGCGTTATCCCTGAGCCTGAGTTCCTCCCAGCGTTATCCCTGAGCCTGAGTTCCTCCCAGCGTTATCCCTGAGCCTGAGTTCTCCCCAGCGTTATCGCTGAGCCTGAGTTCCTCCCAGCGTTATCCCTGAGCCTGAGTTCTTCCCAGCGTTATCCCTGAGCCTGAGTCCTCCCCAGCGTTATCCCTGAGCCTGAGTCCTCCCCAGCGTTATCCCTGAGCCTGAGTTCCCCCCAGCGTTATCCCTGAGCCTGAGTTCCTCCCAGCGTTATCCCTGAGCCTGAGTTCCTCCCAGCGTTATCCCTGAGCCTGAGTCCTCCCAGCGTTATCCCTGAGCCTGAGTTCCTCCCAGCGTTATCCCTGAGCCTGAGTTCTCCCAGCGTTATCCCTGAGCCTGAGTTCTCCCAGCGTTATCCCTGAGCCTGAGTTCCTCCCAGCGTTATCCCTGAGCCTGAGTTCTTCCCAGCGTTATCCCTGAGCCTGAGTCCTCCCCAGCGTTATCCCTGAGCCTGAGTCCTCCCCAGCGTTATCCCTGAGCCTGAGTTCCCCCCAGCGTTATCCCTGAGCCTGAGTTCCTCCCAGCGTTATCCCTGAGCCTGAGTTCCTCCCAGCGTTATCCCTGAGCCTGAGTCCTCCCAGCGTTATCCCTGAGCCTGAGTTCCTCCCAGCGTTATCCCTGAGCCTGAGTTCTCCCAGCGTTATCCCTGAGCCTGAGTTCTCCCAGCGTTATCCCTGAGCCTGAGTTCCTCCCAGCGTTATCCCTGAGCCTGAGTTCCTCCCAGCGTTATCCCTGAGCCTGAGTTCCTCCCAGCGTTATCCCTGAGCCTGAGTTCCTCCCCAGCTTTATCCCTGAGCCTGAGTTCCTCCCCAGCGTTATCCCTGAGCCTGAGTTCCTCCCAGCGTTATCCCTGAGCCTGAGTTCCTCCCAGCGTTATCCCTGAGCCTGAGTTCCTCCCAGCGTTATCCCTGAGCCTGAGTTCCTCCCAGCGTTATCCCTGAGCCTGAGTTCTTCCCAGCGTTATCCCTGAGCCTGAGTTCCTCCCAGCGTTATCCCTGAGCCTGAGTTCTTCCCAGCGTTATTGCCTGAGCCTTCCTTGCTCCTCCCTTCCTCCTGACTGAACATCCCAGAACTACTTGGTTCCATTCCACAAATACCAGTTGAGAACCCCTAGGTGCCAAGAAGCTTCCACTGGGGTCCACAGAGATGATCAGGGATTAAGGTCCTGATCTCACAGGGCGGATGCACCCCACAAGTGACCGTGCACACCTCCCAAACTGCAGTAGGATCAGCGGCGGGGTGGGTGTGAAAGCTTCACAAGGGAGGGCGTGTGAGCGGGACCTGACAGCGCTGTGCAGGCTCTGGCATCATAGAAACCCAAGTTTCAATAACACGCTGCCCCACTGGCTGCATGGTCTTGGACAAACAATAATATTAATAGCTATTATTAAGAGATGGAGTCTTGCTCTGTCACCCAGGCGGGGTACAATGCCTATTCGCAGGCGTGATCCTAGCACCTCTCAGCCTCCAACTCCTGGGCTCAAGCGATCCTCCTGCCTCAGTTCCCCTTGTAGATGGGATTATGGGAGTGAACTACCATGCCCAGCTAATCTTAGGCAAATTACGTCACCTCTCCGAGCCCCAGTTTTCGCACCTGTAATGTGGAGATGGTTATAGCACCTACCTCATAGAGTTGTTGGGGCTCTTAAATGAAACCAACACGTGAAAGGTTCAGCACAAGCCTCTCTAAGCAGCTGTGATGAGGGGGAGGAGGAGGAAGAGGATGATAGGGACAATGATGATGATTTTTTTTTTCCTTTTTTTCTTTTTCTTTTGAGATGGCATCTCACTCTGTCCCCCTGGCTGCTGGAGTGCAATGGCGTGATCTCAGCTCACTGCAACCTCTGCCCCCACTGGGTTCTAGCAATTCTCCTGCCTCAGTCTCCCAAGTAGCTGGGATTATAGGCACCTGCCACCACACCCAGCTAATTTTTTGTGTATGTTTTTAGTAGAGACGGGGTTTCACCATGCTGGCCAGGATGGTCTTGAACTACTGATCTCAGGTGATCCACCCACCTCGGCCTCCCAAAGTGCTGGGATGACAGGCGTGAGCCACCGCACCCGGCCAATGGTGAGGATTTCAATTCGCCTCCACCCTTATCTTTGGGTTCTCCTGCAGGCTGGAGTCTAATCCCCTGTTTCGATTTTACATTGACAAAGCATTCTGCCAAACACCATCTCACAGAAACCTCACAACAGCTGTGAGGTTTGAGCCCTGTGAGGTCAGGAGGGAGGAAATTCTCAGTGTCTTCACACTACAGATGAGCAAACTGCAGCTCTGGTGGGGAGTCATGAGTGACACCCCTCAGGCCACACAGTGAGACAGTGGTAGAGTGGGGACAAAACCCAGTTCTTCTCTCTGCCTTGTAGCCCCTTTTTACTAAGCTTCCCAAGAGGCAAGCAGACAGAGGAGTCTGTGGCCTGTGGGGAGGCGGGTTTTCTGTAAGACCATGGTCCTGCCTTAGGAACCTACACCCCCACTTGTCAGCTGAGATGAGTCCTGGCCCTTTCTTCTCAGAGTGAAACTGGGCAGTCTCCGCTGAATGGAGCCACCCGTGGTCTGTGGGCCTGGCCCTGCCGTGCTGCCCTGCTCAGCCTGGACTTGGGCAGGGTTTATGGGGCAGGGCTTCAGGTTTCACCCTAATACCTCTGTGGGATCCATGTCTTGGGGACACAAAAGAAGACAAAGGCAGAGTGCAAGGCTGTGGAAGGGCGTGCTGGGGAGAGAGGAGCATGTCCTGCCAACACCGCAGAGACCCGGCTTCACCCGGGGCCACCCCATGTGGCAGAAAGGAGGTTGATTGCAAAAGCAGGTTCGGTCATGGTGCAGCAGATATTGATCAGACTTGGTCTTTGCAGTGGTAATGCTGTTGGCTCCCCAGCCCTCTAAACCTGGCGAGAAAAGTCTTGTGGGCCCTGGTGGCCAAGGGCTGTGCACTTTGGTGAGCCAGGCCTAATGCTGCAGGCCTCCCCTCATGCTGAAATTCCGCAGCATCTTCCTGCAGCTGCTCACAGTGGGATGGGAGCTGAGTCCCCCCAGGCAGGGCTCTGAGCCCTGCTGTGGTCTGAGAGCTGCTCACAGTGGGATGGGAGCTGAGTCCCCAAGGCAGGGCTCTGAGCCCTGCTGTGGTCTGAGAGCTGCTCACAGTGGGATGGGAGCTGAGTCCCCCAGGCAGGGCTCTGAGCCTTGCTGTGGTCTGAGAGCTGCTCACAGTGGGATGGGAGCTGAGTCCCCAAGGCAGGGCTCTGAGCCCTGCTGTGGTCTGAGAGCTGCTCACAGTGGGGCCTCCTCCCCACTACCTTTCAGGGGAGTTAGAGCTATCTAGAGACAAGGAGACTGAGGCTCAGCGGTATGAGGACACTTGCCCAATGTCTCACAGCTAAAGAGTAGATTTTCTTTTATTTTCTTGAGATGGAGTCTCGCTTTGTCACCCAGGCTGGAGCGCAGTGGCAAGATCTCGGCTCGCTGCAACTTCCACCTCCCAGGTTCAAGTGATTCTCCCGCCTCAGCCTCCTGAGTAGCTGGGATTACAGGCATGTGCCACCACGCCCGGCTAATTTTTGTATTTTTAGTAGAGACAGGGTTTCACCATGTTGGCCAGGCTAGTCTCAAACTCCTGACCTCAGGTAATCTGGCTGCCTCAGTCTCCCAGAGTGCTGGGATTCCAGGCGTGAGCCACCGCGCCCAGCCTGAGAGTAATAGATTTTCATCTGCGCAAAGCTTATCTGCTTTCCATCCTGGGTGGCTGAAGGAATAATAGTATGACACTTCATTTTCTAGGCCAACCTGACTAGGCCACAAGGTGTCCAGATACTTGTCCAAACATTAATCCGGACATATTTGTGAGGCATTTGGGATGAGGTTGATATGTGTATTGGTGGACTGAGTAAAAAGACTCCTCCCCAGTGTAGGTGGGCCTCATCCAATCCACTGAACACCTGAATTAACAAAAAGGCAGAATAAGAGGAAGCTCCTCTCGCCTGACTACCTGAGCGTGAGCTGGGATGTTGGCCTCCTCCAGCCTCCAGACTCGGACTGAAACACTGGCTCTTCCTGAGCCTCGAGTCCACTGGCTTATGAGCTGGAATTTACATCCCTGGCTCTCCTAGCTCTCAGGCCTTTGGACTTGGACTGGAACCAATATTGGCTGTCCTGGGTCTCCAGCTATTGACTGCAGAGATTAGGACCTCTAAGCCTCCATAATCACCTGAATCAATTCCTTCTAATACTTTTCTTCGTATGTAGATATAGATACAGATAACGCACACACCCTGTTGGTTTTGTTTCTCTAGAGAACACTGACTAACACAAAGACTCAACCTTGGGCTTCCCGTTGGCTGCATATTTGGGCGTGGAAGGCCCAGCGATAAGGCGGTGCCAGAAGCCAGATATCTGAATATCTACAACAATTGTCTGATTTGGTCCAGAAGTCCCCCCTGTTCCCAAGGCCCCAGCAGGAAGCCTGGTAGGGGAGGGGACCTGTTTGGCCAAATAAGCACAGCCAAGCCGCAGAAACCTCGGTCTTTTATTAATAGTGTTTTTAACCAAAACATCCCCAAGTACTCAGGAAGAGGCGTCAGCTCCCTCCAGGCACCCCGTGTAAACAGCAATCCCTGCAGAGTCCACTAGGTGGGGCCGGTGACCCAGCAGAAAGGGCAGAAACGCTCCCTGAGGAGGGAAGGCAGGTGCCGCGGATGGGACCTTTGCCCGGACGATCCCCAGGCTGGACAAGTGCTCCCTACTCCTGCCTTGCGTGGCTTCTAGTCGATGGTGTAAACATCAACCCTGGGGGCCACAAGCACTTTAGGGGGCAGTCACTCTAGCATCTCTGGATTTCAAGGTCCTCAAGCCAAGTGAGTCCCTCGTGAGCCACCAAGCAAGACGCACAGCCACCAAGTCAAGTTCTGCCCCGAAGCCCCGGAGCGCCAGGCGGGGGCATCTGTGCGTGACGCCCGTGATCTGTCTCCCGAGAGAAGGCACCTGCCAGCACCAAAGGAATCGGAAAATCGACGGACACGGAAACCAGTCATGGTGGTCACGCGACAAGGACAGGGCACAGGGACAGGGAGCAAAGAGGGAGGTGGCGCGGGGACAGGCAGCGGCAAAGACCCTGGCCCCACACCGGGATTCCGCAGCATCTTCCTGCAGCTGCTCACAGTGGGGTGAGAGCTGAGTCCCCCCGGGCGGGGCTCTGAGCCCTGCTGTGGTTTGAGAGCTGAAGGCAGAGATGGGAGCGAGAGTCTTCTCCTCCTTGCTCTCCCCTGGTTGGCCCCCGTTCAGGTCCCTGAACACCTGCTCTGCCTCCTTGGGTTACTATTTGTACCCTGAGCCCAATGCCTCCAGGAGAACCAGGGCAAAAACCCTGCCCCCGCAGGTCCGAGACGCTTGTCTCTAACCCGCCTCCCGTCTTAGGGCAGGTCAACAACACACTGACCAACCCCCTCGCCGGCCCCCTTGCCTCCCACCTGCCCCCCGCCAGCCCTTCCCACAGGTGCACGCCTGGACTGCCGCTAAACTCGGCCTCGGCCTCTGTTGCCATGGCAGCAATGTGGCTTCCCCCAAGTGGGAAGCCCGTTGCCAAGGCCCTTGTTGCCAAAGGCTATAACAGCCACCCCGGTGTGTGAAGAGGGGTGAGAGCTCTGTGGGGGGTGGAGGGTGGCCGGGGGGGCTGGAAGGAGCAGGGGGTTCTCAAGAATGGGAGGGTTCAGGCGGCCTCAGCTGGGGTGGGGGGGCACTAGCCCCTGGAGGAAGAAGAGGCAGCCCGTGGCATCTCAGCGACTGCTCCTCTGGGGACGTCAGAAGGCAGGACGGAGACCCCCTACAAAACACACCCGGACGAGCAGGACCAAGCAAGGATGGGGCACTCCCACCGCCTCCTGCAACACACACCCCCCACAGAGGACCGGCTTGGATTCTTCTCCCCCACCAGCTCCAGGCAAACAACCCCCAGAACCTCTGTTTTGCTCGTTCATGTGTCTCCGACAGGCACACACGAGCTGCGCTCAGACAGCGTCAGTCCCTGTCGCCAGGAACACGTTAATGACAAGGACCGCAAACCCTCCACAGTTTCTATCCCTGGCCTGTCTCAGAGCACATACTTAATATTCCTTCTACAATGCTTCTCTCTGGAGCAGAACTCTTGTCTCTGTCAACAAGGAGAGGTGGATGCCATCAGAGTTTGTTCCCTTCCAGAGTGAACAGAGGAGGGCTGGAGCGGGCAGCTCATTGCACCCACAGGGAGCACCAGGCCCAGGCTGGCTTTGCGGGAGCAGCATCTGAACACCTGGAGCCCACGGGCCACGCATGCAGCCACTGCCTGGCCTGGGTGCAGAGGGGAGGAGAGCCTGGTCCTCTCCTGGGTCCTCTGGAGGAGACAGGCTAACAGGGGAAAGCTGAAAGAGGCACGGAGGGGTCTGGGAGGCCTGGGGAGCAGACGGCTAGTAGACGGGGAGAGACAGGGGCGGCAGCGTTGGCAAAGCAGGTGGGGAGGGAAGCCCGAGCCTGAGAGGGGTCCAGGGCCAGGACGAGATGACGAGGCACCAAGAACGGCCAGGTCCAAACGTCTCCAGTCCCAATCTCTCGAGACCAACCCAAGCAGGGCCTGGCCCACGATGCCCAGGCCTTCCCGTCACCCCTCCCCAAACCCAGAAAGAAAAGCCGGTGTACCTACCCCAGGAGCCAGTCCCTCAGGTGGAGTCGGGGAGACGCCATCCCCCCCGCCCTGGCTGCGGGCGCTGAGCTGCGGGGACATGGTGGGCGACTCATCGATGTACGGCATGGTCTCTGAGCCCTCCGGGGGCCCCTTCTGCTCCTCATTCCCCTCTCCGTCGTACTCGTCCGTCCCGTAGCTGAAGTCTGAGACAAGGAACAAGAAAGGCCACTGAGAATCCTCCACCAGAGCTGCCAGGGACTGGTAGCGTAGTGGGCGCCGGCGGCGGCCCCCGGCAGCCATGGCCCCGGCCGCACCATCCACGCCTGGCCCGGGCGGGGGCTGTGCGGGGGCCTGGGCCTGGTGAGGGGCGGGGGAGAGCCAGCAGGCACCGGGCCCTGCCCGCTCCGGGGCTGCTGGGAGGCGGGGAGGAGCGGCTCTGCTGTTGCTACCCGATGAAGAGCATGTCAGCCGCGTATTTCAAGCTGCTGTTTTCTTTGCCTTCTGCCTAATTCCAAGTGTAAAAATTAACAGTGGGAGCAAGAGGCAGGACGCTTCCAACTCTCCTCTCTGAGTCACCATTTTGCTTTTTATAGGGAATAAGGAGGTGGGGGGGGCCGGTCGATGTCACTTCCTGTGGCCCTCCTCCTTGGGTACCATTTGTACTGAGCCCACTCCCTCCAGGGGTCCAGGGCAGGTTCTGGAGTGTGGGAGGGGAGCCCTCAGCCCTCAGAACAAGGCCCCGCACGGAGGACGGAGCCCAAGGCAGCAGGGCGTGGGCGAGGAGGCTGTGCCCAGGCCTGGCAGGGACAGGGGCTCACAGCAGACTCCTCGGAGCCGGTGCTTATTTCTATCACCCCAGTGTGGGCTTCCTTCAAAGGAGGAGGGAAGGAAAGGCGACCGGGAAGTTGAGCCGCATTAACCCCCCAGGGCTGCCAGCACCACTTGGGCTCCAGAGCCCAGGCACGGAGCCCACCCACCTTGGGAGGGGAGGCTGAGCCAGTGCAGCGAGCGGGGTGTGCAGGTCAGCAGCTCAGGGCTTCACATTTTCCAAAAGGGTTACGAGGGCGGCCTCGGAAAGGCCCCTGCGTCCAGCCCCACCAGCATGGCTATAGGAGGGACCCTCCCACAAACCGGCCCCTGCCCCTTGGCCTGTTTGCTCCCCAGCTCTGACCCACCACGACTGGCAACGGAGAACGTGGCAGTGTTGCTCCCGAGGGCTGTGGTGGACCTCCTTGGGCTGGGGCCGCCAGCGGGGGGTGGACACCCCTCTCACACTCATCGCAGAGCAGGGGTAAGCTTCAGCACTCGTGCGGGCCAGCGGGAGCTGGCACCGCAGGGCGTCCTGGAGACACGAAGATCACCGTGCCGGCAGCCTTGGGGCCAGCAGGAGCCTCCTACGCACTGGACTGCCCAGTGGCGGCGTCCGCTTGTTAAACCTCCCCGGGTATCTTCCGGGCGGGACTCCCTGGCCAGGCATCTTCGGATCTCGCACAGTGTGATGGGGGAGGCTGGCTGAGCCTGCCCTGCCATCTGCCCAGACATCCTTTCCTCCAGGTCACCCTCCCCATGGCACCTGGCCCCCTGGCACCTTAGTGAATCCTGCCCCTTTGTCCTTGAGCCCCTGGGGCAGGAGGTGAGCATCTGAGTCATCACTGTACGCCAGCACCCACAACCCCACCTGTGGCAGGCTCTCGGGGAAAGTGCGTGGAGCGAATGAATGAGCAGAGGATCGCACCGTCTGTCTCAGGTCTGAGGCTTCAGCCAAGTCCCAGCCAGCCAAGTTCTCCACGGGGGCCCCAGCTCTTCCCTCCTCTGTCACAACACACCAGCCCACAGGCAACCAGCAGCTGGAGAATGGTGTCAACAGGTCACCGGGACGCCTGGCCGTGGCCACACTCTGCCCAATCTGGCCTTTTGGCAGCCGAGCGCTTCCCCTAGGCTCGCTGCACCTGCTTCTGTCGGCTGCCTCTCCTCGTCCCTGAGCCAATGCCCCATTCAGCTGCCAGGGGACATGGACTAGTTTTTTCCCTAGACAGGGTTGTGTATGAAGAACCACAGGACCCAGGGATGCCCCATCACTGAGATGAGTGTACACCACACACCCGGGCAGGACCCAGGGATGCCCCATCACTGAGACGCGTGTACGCCACGTACCTGGGCAGGACCCAGGATGCCCTCCCACTGAGATGTGTGTAGGCCACGCACCTAGGACATAAGGCCCAGTGCCCTGGAGACCATGACACTTGTGTCTGTGGCTGAAGGGATGTGAAATGACTCTGGTCCTTCCAGGGGGAGGAGGAAGAGGCACAGCGGCACCCAGCTGGCCTGAGTCTGGGTCCGTGAAGGGCCTGGCCGTTTGGTGACACCCCCTCACTCTGGAGAAGCACAGGAGGGGATGGAAGGCAGCCTCCCGCCGGCCCCTCCCTCCTCCCTCCTCCTCTCCAGGAGGCTCCAGGCTGCCCTGTTGGTGCCTGGAGTCCAGGGAAAATAAGCAATAGTGGACCGCGGCTTTGCCCACAGTTTAGATTCCAGCCGGCCAAGCAGACTCTCCTGTACACTGACCAATTCCCAGGGGTCGCAGGAATGGACCCCACACACTTGGGAGATCGTCCAAGATCAACGGGGGGGAAGGGACGGTAGGGAAGGTCTCTGCCAGTCTCCCCACATGCACAGTTCATCCTGATCAGAGCAGAGGACCACGGGCCCTGCCATCCCCTGCTCCTTCCAGCCTGGATGTTCCGCGGGGAGGCAGTTCTTATTTTTCCCAATTTACATACAATTGCCGAAGATCACAGGATCAGAACCCAGGTCTCAAATGCCCTCCCTTTCCCTCTGAATCTCACTCCAAAGAAGTCCCCTTCCATATCCCTCCTGGTTAAGGGGGGCTGACCATGGAGCTGAACGCAGGGGGCCTGAGGACAGGGTGCTGGTGGGCGGAGGCCCAGGGGCGGCGAAAGGGCTCGGCCTGCGAACATTTCCAGGGCCTTCCCCTTTCATTTCTGCCCCCACAAAACCATGAGAGCCCAGGAGACTCCAACCAGGAAAAGGGGTACAGAAAAGATGGGGAAACCAATCCTCGGAGAAGGCAGGAACCCTGGGGGAGGAAGATGGGGACCTACTGAGCACAGGCTTCAGTCTCCGACGGCCACAGGTGGGTATGCTGAGCAGACAGCGGCTTGGGCACCAGATCTCAAAAAAGAAGAAAAGGCAGACAAGGCAAAGGCTGCTGGCAGCCAATATCCATTTCCCCGCCGACTAACAGAAATCCTACTGTATTCGGAGCGGCAGTGCACCCAGCAGCTAGTTCAAAGACACCTTTCCTGATGGTGTGAGCCATATGATTACGTTCTAGACAACAAGATGTTACAGGGATATGTGTGGAACTTGCAGGAAGCTGCTGGAAGAGACTGATTTAGCCGAAAGGTACACTATCCACACTGCCCTTGTTCCTCCTTCTGTTGCTGGTTTGGAGAGTTGATGGGATGGCTGGAGCCCCAGCAGCCATCCTGAACCATGAGGTGAGCTGAGGATAGAAGCCACCACTGAAGACAGCTGAGCAGAAAGCTGGGAGTCCAGGTCACTGAGGGCACAGTGGAGCCCACCCCAGGAAGGTCTACCTCGGGACGTTTTCACAAGCTGGGAGTCCAGGTCACTGAGGGCACAGTGGAGCCCACCCCAGGAAGGTCTACCTCGGGACGTTTTCACAAGCTGGGAGTCCAGGTCACTGAGGGCACAGTGGAGCCCACCCCAGGAAGGTCTACCTCGGGGCGTTTTTACATAAAAGAAAGAAAAAGTGCCAAATGCAATTTGAGCCTCTGTTACTTGGTTTTTCTATTATCTGCAGTCAAACCTAAGGTAACTGACCCAGGTGATCTTCCCTGACGTCCCCGCTTCGGTGCTTTTCCTCTGACTGTCACCGTCCTTCTCAGGCTCCTTGGTGAAATCTTCTTTCTCTACCCATCCCTTAAAAATTGCTGTTCCCATGGAGGGGAACGTCACACACTGGGGCCTGTTGGAGGGTGGAGGGCAAGGGGAGGGAGAGCATTAGGACAAATACCTAATGCACGAGGGGCTTAAAACCTAGATGACAGGGCCAGGCACAGGGGCTCACGCCTGTAATCCCAGCACTGTGGGAGGCCGAGGCGGGCGGATCATCTGAGGTCAGGAGATCAAGACCATACTGGCCAATATGGTGAAGCCATACTGGCTACAAAAAAATTAGCCAGGCGTGGTGGTTGGCGCCTGTTGTCCCAGCTACTTAGGAGGCTGAGGCAGAAGAATGGTGTGGACCCAGGAGGCGGGGCTTGCAGTGAGCTGAGATCGCGACACTGCACTCCAGACTGGGCGACAGATCAAGACTCCGTCTCAAAAAAACAAAAACAAAAACAAGAACAAAAAAAGATTCATGCACTTCAGCAAATGTTGGGCTCCAGTGAGTGACATGCTGGAGTGAAGTGTACAACTCTCTGCAACTTACTCCGAAATACATAAAAAATAAGATGGGCTGAACGCGGTGGCTCACACCTGTAATCCCAGCACTTTGGGAGGCCGAGGCAGGTGGATCACGAGGTTAGGAGTTCAAGAACAGCCTGGCCAACATGGTGAAACCCCCTCTCTACTAAAAATACAAAAATTAGCTGGGTGCGATGGCGGGTGCCTGTAATCCCAGCAACTTGGGAGGCTGAGGCAGGAGAACTGCTTGAACCCGGGAGGTGGGGGTTGTGATGAGCTGAGATTGCACCATTGCACGCCAGCCTGGGTGACAGAGTGAGACTCTGTCTCGAAACAACCAACCAACCAACAACAAAAAAACCAAGATGGAATGATGATGTTCAGAGGGATGGAAAGATGGACAGCTGTGTGATAAAGCAAGCGCATAAAAATCATCACTGGGAACGTTAGACAGCAGGTGAATGGGTGTTCACTGTGAATTCTTTCAACTTTTCTGTGTGCTTACAATTGTTCATGATAAAATGGTGGTGGTGGCAGGGACTGGTACTCGCCAGCTTCCATCAACCTCGCATCACCTTCCTCTCCCGAATTGTGTTCCTGCTCCCGGAAGAAGTCAGGTCTGCAGACTCCTGGGCATCTCCACCTTTAGGAGCCTCAAACGCAGCCTTTTCCCAAAGACCACACACGTAGGGAACCTGGGAGCCATTCTAGATGCCTCCACATTCCCGCCCCTCATCTCCTGCACTGTGAGGCATCCCCGCTCCTCCCCACCCTCACCAACTCTTACAAGGACAATTCCAGCACCCTCCCCACAGCAGCCGGGTCACAAATCAGACCGTGTTGCCCCCCATTCACTTAGGGACACAGCCCCGCTCCTCAGCTCAAGGCCCTTTGTGGTCTGCACCTGCTCCACCTCTCCAGGGTCCTATTCTCCTGCCCTGTGACATCGGACTCCTTCTAGCTCCCTGCGGTGGGTTCAGTAGTGGCCCCCCCACAAGGTATGTCCAGATTCTAATTCCTGGGACCTGGGAATGTGACCTTATTTGGAAAACATTCTTTGTAGATGTGAATAAATGAAGGGTCTCAAGATGAGATCATTGTCGATTAACCGGTGGGTCCTAAATCCAATGCTGTGTCCCTATGGAAAGAGAAAGGGGGAAAACACAGACAGAAGAGAAGACAGAGGCAAGGTTTGGACTGGGGCTGCCACCAACCAAGGAATGCCTGGAGCCACCAGACACTGAAAGAGGGGAGTAAGTGGGAACTCTGCCCCGGCAGCCTGGGGAGGGGCTGGGACTTTGATTTCAGACTTCTGGTCTTCAGACTGCGAGAGCATCGATTTCTGCTGTTCTAAGCCATCAAGTTCATGGCAATCTCTAATGGCAGCATTAAGCCACAAATGCAGCGCCTGACACGCACACAGCTCTCCCCTTTGCACACCAAATGCAGTGCCTGCCACGCACACAGCTCGCCCCTTTGCACACCAAATGCAGTGCCTGCCACGCGCACAGCTCCCCCCTCTTTGCACACCAAATGCAGTGCCTGCCACGCGCACAGCTCCCCCCTTTGCACACCAAATGCAGTGCCTGCCACGCACACAGCTCCCCCCTCTTTGCACACCAAATGCAGTGCCTGCCACGCACACAGCTCCCCCCTTTGCACACCAAATGCAGTGCCTGCCACGCACACAGCTCCCCCCTTTGCACACCAAATGCAGTGCCTGACACGCACACAGCTCCCCCCTTTGCACACCAAATGCAGTGCCTGACACGCACACAGCTCCCCCCTTTGCACACCAAATGCAGTGCCTGCCACGCGCACAGCTCCCCCCTCTTTGCACACCAAATGCAGTGCCTGCCACGCGCACAGCTCCCCCCTTTGCACACCAAATGCAGTGCCTGCCACGCGCACAGCTCCCCCTCTTTGCACACCAAATGCAGTGCCTGCCACGCACACAGCTCCCCCCTTTGCACACCAAATGCAGTGCCTGACACGCACACAGCTCCCCCCTTTGCACACCAAATGCAGTGCCTGACACGCACACAGCTCCCCCTTTGCACACCAAATGCAGTGCCTGCCACGCGCACAGCTCCCCCCTTTGCACACCAAATGCAGTGCCTGCCACGCGCAGAGCTCCCCCCTCTTTGCACACCAAATGCAGTGCCTGCCACGCGCACAGCTCCCCCCCTTTGCACACCAAATGCAGTGCCTGCCACGCGCACAGCTCCCCCCCTTTGCACACCAAATGCAGTGCCTGCCACGCGCACAGCTCCCCCCTCTTTGCACACCAAATGCAGTGCCTGCCACGCGCACAGCTCCCCCCTCTTTGCACACCAAATGCAGTGCCTGCCACGCGCACAGCTCCCCCCTCTTTGCACACCAAATGCAGTGCCTGCCACGCACACAGCTCCCCCCTCTTTGCACACACTGCTCCCGTGCCTAGAAAACCCTCCTTGCTGGGCGCGGTGGCTCACGCCTGTCATCCCATCACTATGATGTGGGGCATCCTCCAAGGCAGGAGGATCACTTGAGCCCAGGAGTTTGAGACCAGCCTGGCCAACATAAGGAGACTCTGTCTCTATGAACACACACACACACAAAGACACGCACACACACACATACACATATATATATACCTCTCCTTACCCCTTGTCCACCTGGTGAAATCCTGTTTTGCCCTCAAATCTGCCTCATCTGTGCCCTCTCCCAGGAACTTTCCTGTATTCTACATATTATGATAATACTTGAATACCGAAAGCACTTTTTTTTTTTTTTTTTTTGAGATGGAGTCTCGCTCTGTCACCCAGGCTGGAATGCATTGGCACGATCTCAGCTCACTGCAACCTCCACCTGCCAGGTTCAAGCGATTCTCCCGTCTCAGCCTCCCGAGTAGCTGGGATTATAGGCATGCACCACCATGCCTGGCTAATTGTTGTATTTTTAGTAAAGACGGGGTTTCACCGTGTTAGCCGGGATGGTCTCCAACTCCTGACCTTGTGATCCACCCACCTCGGCCTCCCAAAGTGCTGGGATTACAGGCGTGAGCCACCACACCTGGCCAATAAAGCACTTTTACAAGCCAATGAGAAAAGATGAAAACCTCAACTTTCTAAATGTGTAAGGGAAATGAACAGAAAATTTAAAAGAGAACTACAAATATTCAAAATGCATTAAAAAGAATGTTAACCTCATTTGTAATGAAAGAAAATGTAAAGTTCTATATAGTTTTCACTGTTCGTGTCAAATTGGCAAGGATTTTAAGATAATAATAACAATATCCAGAGCTGTCAGGGCATAGGTACTCACAGAAACTCTTGGAGGCTGCCTATAACTGGCACAACTTTGGCTGGGCACAGTGGCTCACGCCTGTAACCCCAGGTCTTTGGGAGGCCGAAGTGGACGGATCACCTGAGGTCAGGAGTTCGAGACCAGGCTGACCCACACGGAGAAACCCCATCTCTACTAAAATACAAAATTAGCCAGGCGTGGTAGCACATGCCTATAATCCCAGCTACTTGGGAAGGCTGAGGCAGGATAATCGCTTGAACCTGGGAGGTGGAGGTTGCGGTGAGCCAAGATCACAACATTGCTCTCCAGCCTTGGCAGCAAGAGCAAAACTCCGTCTCGAAAAAAAAAAAAAAAGTTGGCCCAACTTTTCTAGAGTCAATCTGGTAACTGGTATCAAAAGGTTTAGTGGTTGGTACAGTTTATACCCAGCGTAATAAGATTATGATCTATGATACTAGTTATAAATGAACATAAAAATAAAGTTGTAAGTCACAGGGCTGTCTGTAAGTGTGAAATATTAAAAACAACCTGAATTATGAGACTGGTTGAGTCAATTATGGTTTTTCTACAAGATGGGCTGCTATATAGCATTAAAAACTATATGGATGATGAATAGCATCTTATCAAGTGCAAAAAGAGATTAATAACAATAATTAAAGTATGTTACAATGTCTGAAAAAAGTAAAAACATACGTGCATAGAAAAAAGACTGGAAGGCTACAACACAAAATCATTAGAGCCTTCCGATTCTGGAAATTTTGAAAAAATTAATGTACGGTCTCTGCGCTCTAGGGCACTGGCAGACACCCGACACCCGTCTTCCCTTCTTCCTTGCTTACTCTACCCTCGTTTTCTAGGAAGTGGCAACAGACCAGTCCCAGGCAAGATACCCGCTTTCTCTGCCTCTCTCATTACCAGGAACGGCTGCCCTACACCATTCTGGCCACTGAGACCCAAGTGAAGCATGCTGGGACCTCTGGCAAGGCCCTGACTTTGATGATTACAAAGAGACATTTTGCCTTGAACTCATGGGTGATGATTGGAGTTACGGTGGCTTTACTGCTGCCACCAGGAACAGGTCAAGAAAGAACAGAGGCCGGGCGCGTGGCTCATGCCTGTCATCCCAGCAATTTGGGAGGCCAAGGCGGGCAGATCACCTGAGGTCAGGAGTTCGAGACCAGCCTGGGCAAGATGGTGAAACCCCATCTCTACAGAAACTACAAAAATTAGCCGGGTGGTGACTCACGCCTGTAATCCCAGCACTTTGGGAGGCTGAGGCAGGTGGATCACCTGAGGTCAGAAGTTTGAGACCAGCCTGCTCAACATGATGAAACCCCGTCTGTACTAAAAATACAAAAATTAGCCAGGTATGGTTGCACACACCTGTAATCCCAGCTACGCAGGAGGCTGAGGCAGGAGATCACTTGAACCCAGGAGGCAGAGGTTGCAGTGAGCTGAGATTGTAGCACTGCACTCCAGCCGGGGCAACAGAGCAAGACTCCCTCTCAAAAAAATAAAAATTAATTAATTAAATTAAATTAAATAAATAAAAGAACAGAGCCATTTCCCTCATGCTGTTCAGCTGAGCCACACTAGGAAGAGCCTGTCTCATTTCCTGCTCATGGGAAATACAAGTCCCTATATATTGGGTTTTCTGCTGCTTACAATGAACACATTTCCAAATGATATCCTCACAGCCCAGAGAGGAAGCGAGTCCAATCAGCAATCAAATCTCCGAGATGCTACGACAGAGGCCTCAAAGGCCCGGCAAGGCGGACCGGAGGGTGTGGGCAACACTCGGGGAGGGGAGGTGGCTGGGGAGGCTTTGGTGCCACGCTAAGGAAGACAGTTCATCGCTGTGGCTGAGAGCAGGGACCCTGCGGTCCGGCAGCGGAGGTTCCAGCCCACGCTCTGGCACTTCCTAACCTCTCTGTGCCTCCGAGGAGTGCCTGGCACAGGGTGGCTGCTACTAAATGGATACGGGTTTAGCAAATCCGTGTGAAACGGGGGACGACACAGGATCAAGTGCACGGGCCGCTGCGGGGGTTAAACTGGATGACACGCATACGGCACTTAGCACATAGGAAGCACCCAATCCATCTCAGCTGCTATTATTACTGTTATTAATTGGATCTTGAAAGCTGTGTGGGTGCCTGCCAGGCGGGTGGGGGACAGGAGCAGAGTTTCAGGCGGTGAGAGGAGGCTTGGCAGTGGCACCCAGTGGGAAACAGCAGGGCCCCTGGAGGGGACTATAAATAGCCAGGAGGGCTAGAACACAGAGTGAGCAGAGGGGGAGAGGGCCGTGCTGGAGAGGAGGCAGGGACTTGCTCCTGAGAGCCTCGTGAGCTGAGCCGAGAGCCGTGCAGGACTCAGTGAGGATGGGTGACCTGGCCCATGATCCTCTGCAGGCTCTTGCCGGCCACATCATTGCTGAATATTGCTAACTTTATTTTTTATTCTTTTTCTTTTTGTCTTTTTTTTTTTTTTTTGAGACAGAGTTTCACTCTTGTTGCCCAGGCTGGAGCGACACCCTCCAGCCTGTCGCAAGGGTGATACAGAGGCTGACTGTTAAGTGATAAACTTATTTTCTGCCCAAGAATTGAGGATGGGAATGAGAGAGGGAAGAGCAGCTGAGGGAGCCCAGCCCTGACCATTATTCCACCAAAGCTGCATCAAAAGTCTTCAGAGAGGCCAGGTGCGGTGTCTCACACCTGTAATCCCAGCACTGTGGGAGGCTGGAGCAGGCAGATCACCGGAGGTCAGGAGTTTGAGACCAGCCTGGTCAACATGGTGAAAGCCTGTCTCTACTAAAAATACAAAAATCAGCTGGGCTTGGTGGCAGGTGCCTGTAATCCCAGCTATTCGGGGGGCTGAGGCAGGAGATTCACTTGAACCCGGGAGGCGGAGGTTGCAGTGAGGCAAGATTGGGCCACTGCACTCCAGCCTGGGTGACAGAGCAAGGCTCTGTCTCAAAAAAAATAAACAAATAAAGTCAGGTAATGTGATTCTTCCAGTTTTGTTATTTTTGTTTTGGTTCCATATAAATTTTAGCATTTTTTTTTTTCTATTTCTGTGAAGAATACCATTGTTTGAGCATTACTCCTAAAGTCCCTGGGATATTCAGAATGGTCAGTGAGCACTGGTTTAAAGTCACCCCTGCACTGGCCCCTAACACTAGAGTCAGCCTGTCCTTCTGTCCTTTGAAACTTCGAAGCCAGGCACGGATCCCTTTTCTAGGATGAAAGTCCTACATATGTCTTCTTCCAATAGAAGGCTGTTTTGTCTACATTGAAAATCTGATCTGTTTTGTTTTTGTTTTGTTTGGTTTTGTTGTTGTTGTTTGAAATAGAGTCTGGCTCTGTTGCCCAGGCTGGAGTGCAATGGCGCGATCTCAGCTCACTGCAAGCTCCACCTCCCAGGTTCAAGTGATTCTCTTGCCTCAGCCTCCTGAGTAGCTGGGATTACAGATGTGCACCACCAGGCCTGGCTGATTTTTGTATTTTTAGTAAAGACAGGGTTTCACCATGTAGGCCAGGCTGATCTTGAACTCCTGACCTCAAGTGATCCACCCACCTCGGCCTCCCACAGTGCTGGGATTACAGGCGTGAGCCACCGCGCCTGGCCAAAAATCTGATGTTTAGTGCGGTGACCTTCCTTTACAGTCTTTGCTACATCTTCTGCACAACTGGCCGCAGCTTCTCCATCCGTACTTGCTGCTTCACTTTGCCTTTTTCTGTTATGAAAGCGGCTTCTTTCCTGACCCCTCATGAACAAATCTCTGCCAGCTTCAAACTTTCCTCTGCAGCTTCCTCACCTCTCTCAGCCTTCACAGACTTGCAGAGTGCGAGGGCCTTGCTCTGGATTGGGCTCCGGCTCAGGGGAACGTTGTGGCTGGTTTGATCTTTATCCGACCACTCAAACTTTCTCCATATCAGCAGTGGGGCTGTTTCCCTTATCATTCTTGTGTTCACTGGAGAAGCACTTTGAATTTCCTTAAAACACTTTTCCTGTGTGTTCACAATTTGGCTAACTGGTAGGAGAGGCTCCGCTTCCAGCCTATCTTGGCTTTCAACAAGCCTTCCTCACTACACTAAATCATTTCTTTTTTCTCTCTCTCTCTCTCTTTCTCTCTTCCTTCTCTCTCTCCCTCTTTCTTTCTTTTCTAGACAGTCTCTATCACCCAGGCTGGAGTGCAGCGGCACAATCTCAGCTCACTGCAACCTCTGCCTCCCAGGTTCAAGTGAGTCTCCCACCTCAGACTCCTGAGTAGCTGGAATTACAGGCGCCCGCCACCACGCCCGGCTAATTTCTCTATTTTTAGTAGCGATGGGGTTTCACCATGTTGGCCAGGCTGGTCTTGAACTCCTGACCTCGTGATCTGCCCGCCTCGGCCTCCCAAAGTGCTGGGATTACAGGCGTGAGCCACCGAGCCCGGGCTAAACTGAACCATTTCTAGCTTTTGATTTAAAGTGACAGACGCACACCTCGAGGCCACTGTAGGGTTACTCACTGGACTAACTTGGATATTTTTGTGTCTCAGGGAATAGGGAGGCTGGAGCGGGGAGAGGAGAGAGGCTGGGAAAGGCTGGTGGGCGGAACAGCCAGAACACACAACGTTCATAGATGAAGGTTGCCGGGTCCGGTCTGTGGTGCCCAAAACAATGACAATGCTAACATGGAGGATCGCTGATCACAGATCACTGTAACAGGTGTCATAACAATAAAAAAGTCTGAAAGATCGTGAGAACCACCAACACGTAACACAGAGAGAATGCGAGGTGGCCACACACTTCCAACTGGTGAAAAAAAACGCAGCATCTTTGAAGCTCAACTAAGCATGGAGGTGCCGTAAAGCGAGGTACGCCTGCACATGAGTGCCGTAAAGCAAGGTACGCCCGCATCACAGGAGTGCCGTAAAGCGAGGTATGCCTGCACCGCAGGAGGCTATTTACTTTAGGTTGGAGCAAAGGTAATATATAATGGTAAAAACCACAATTACTTTTTTTTTTTTTTTGAGACGGGGTCTCACTCTGTCACCCAGGCTGGAGAGCAGTGGCACAATTTCGGCTCACTGCAACCTCCGCCTCCTGGGTTCAAGCAATTCTCCTGCCTCAGCCTCCTGAGTAGCTGGGATTACAGGTGCCCACCACCAACACCCGGCTAATTTTTTTTTTTTTTTAGTAGAGATGGGGTTTCAGCATGTTGGCCAGGTTGGTCTCAAGCTCCTGACCTCAGGTGATCCACCCGCCTCAGCCTCCCAAAGTGCTGGGATTACAGGTGTGACCCACCACGTCCAGCTCTCAACTACTTTTGCACCAGCCTAAATACAAAGCTCAAGAACAGGCGAAACAAATGGATGGTGATAGAAGTCCATGGCAGTGGCTTTCTGGGGGTGGACGACGGGGACAGGGAGTGTTGGCTGGGAAGGGGCAGGAAGCAACTTTCCAGGACACTGAAGATGTTCCATATCTTGATCTGGGTGTTAGTTACACAAGCAGACATATGGAAATATTCACCAAGCTCTATGCTTAAGACTGGTGCACTTGAAAAGCTTTTTTTTGTTTTTTGATTTTTGTTTTTTGTTTTTTTTAGAGACAGAGTCTCGCTCTGTTGCCCAGGCTGGAGTGCAGTGGCACAAACATAGCTCATTGCAGCCTCAAACTCCTGGGCTCAGATGATCCCCCTGCCTCAGCCTCCCAAGTAGCTGAGACCACAGGCATGCACAACCATGCCTGGCTGATTCGAAAAAGTTTTTGTAGACACAGGGTCTTGCTATGTGGGCCGGGCTGGTCTTGAACTCCTGGCCTCAAAGAGTCCTCCACTTTGGCCTCCCAAAGTGCTGGGATTATAGGCATGAGCCACCACACTCTGCCTGAAAAACTTCTTAAAAATTTAAAATCTAAGTTGTACTGTTGCAGGAAACTGAGGACCGGAGAGACCGATATGGAGAAGGGAAGGACTGTTTATTTTAGGTATGCACTAGCTCAGTGGATTTGCATTTAAAAAGCTTAGCATTGAATAAAGACAGAATGGGGTTTTTATAAGCAGACTTCACAAAAGTAAAACAAAAGCAGTTAATCATATAGTGCATAACTTGTGGCTTGTAGCTGTGTCAAAAGAAAAACAAGGACTGGCTAAATCCAGACATTTGTAAACACAGTTATGCTTAGGAAGCCAGGGAAAGGAGTAACAGTAAAGGAATTTCTCTTTCTTTTTTCCTTCAACCTTGCTCTAAAAGGCGGGTGTGTGGAGCCCATTTCTTTAGCCTTGGCTTCTTAAACAGCGTTATCTTATAACTCCTTAAAGTGAGCTTGCTAGGCAGAAAAAAAAAGAGGTTTTTTTTGTTCCTTTGTTTTTTGTTTTTTGAGATGGAGTCTCGCTCTGTCGCCCAGGCTGGAGTGCAGTGGCGCCATCTCGGCTCACTGCAAGCTCCGCCTCCCGGGTTCAAGCCATTCTCCTGCCTCAGCCTCCCGAGTAGCTGGGACTACAGGTGCCTGCCATCATGCCCGGCTAATTTTTTTGTATTTTTAGTAGAGACAGGGTTTCACCGTGTTAGCCAAGATGGTCTCCATCTCCTGACCTCGTGATCCACCCGCCTCGGCCTCCCAAAATGCTGGGATTACAGGCGTGAGCCACCGTGCCCGGCCTGTTTTTTTTTTCTTTTTAACCCTTGCCTTGCCTGTTACTTTTCTTGGAGTAAATACATACATATTTGTTTTTAAATTTCTGCCTCCGTACCATTATGACTCATTTACAATGGAGGAAATGAAAGCGCAGGGAGTTAAGTTACTCGCCCAAGATTTCACGGCAGTCAGGTGGGAAACCAGATGGACACAGGTCATCCAACTCCACAACCTTTGCTCTTAAAATGTTATCATATGTAGGACTCATACAAATACCAAACACGAAGTGTGTGGGCTGCCCTGAGGGGTTCATATGGAAGAAACAACCAGTCACAGAGCGTGAGGAAGGAAAAGGTCCATTTGCGGCAGGGTATCAGCGTGCAGAATGGGGGCAGGACGCAGGAGGTTGGCCCTGATGAACAGACTGGTACCACTGAAGCCGAGCTCTGGAGGGGTCAGACTGCAGAGGGCCTGGAACACTATCCTGAATAGTCAGATTTCACGCACGCTGGGAGCCACGGATGCCAAAATGGCAAGGTGATTTCAGAGGTGACTTCAGGAAAACGAAGCTGACTGTGGTGCATGAGATGATGTGGAACGGGGCAAACCGCCCCTCCGTGCTTTGTCAAAGGTGACCATGGTGGGAACCAAGGGCAAAGTCTGGCGATGGGAGAGTTGACTGAAAATGCGGCCACAGCAGGGTCCTCTGGGCTTGGAGGGCTGAGCGATGGACAGGAAGGGGGAGCTGGTTCCGGGGGAACAGACCCTAAGTCCAGGTGGAGACATGTCTGGACTGAGAAGACTCATGGCCATCCCTGTCAGAAGATCCAACGGGCAGCCAGACAGCAGAGTCTGGACCACAGGTGTGGATCTGGGAGGCCGGCAACCCTGAACCAGGGAACTGGCCAGCGGAAGCGAGGCTGCCACTTCCCAGGTGCCACCTGTACCAGATCAGCCTGTCCGGGGCAATTTCAGCAGGGATGGTGGCTCAGATACAAAATCTACCACCTCACCTACAACAATAAGGACACTGTCTTCTACTGCACTTTATTTTATTGATTTATTTATTTTTGGAGACGAAGTCTCAATCTGTCACCCAGGCTGGAGTGCAGTGGTGGGATCTCAGCTCACTGCAACCTCCGCCTCCCAGGTTCAAGCAATTCTCCTGTCTCAGCCTCCCAAGTAGCTGGGATCACAGGCACCCGCCACCATGCCCGGCTAATTTTTGTATTTTTAGTAGAGATGGGGTTTCACCATGTTGGCCAGGCTGGTCTCGAACTCCTGACCTCAAGTGATCCGCCCACCTCGGCTTCCCAAAGTGCTGAGATGACAAGTGTGAGCCACCGCGCCCGGCCAGTCTTCTATTGCACTGGGAGGCAGAGGTTGCAGTGAGCTGAGATCGCACCACAGCACTCCAGCCTGGGTGACAGAGTGAGACTGTCTCAAAGAAACAAGATGAGGATAACGATACCATGTCACAGGGTGGTTGTGAAAATGACATTAAATAACATGATGTAGGTTAAAGAACTGGGCACAGTATCAGGGCAGAAGGGTCCTTGGGAAAGCTCAGCTGAAGCCGAGTGGGTGTCGTAGGCAACGGGAAAGTAGACACCTTCAGGGTCCAGGTGACCCCAGCTGATCCAGGAGATATTTAATACCATCGGGAGCCCCTCAGTCAGGGCCTGGCTCCAAGGGGAGGAATCCTGGAAACCAGCATCTTTCCCACGGGACAAGCCACCTCCTTCTCAGGGCCCCCCATTCTTTGATTGATGGAGCAGAGGTTGGGGAGCCAGGACAGCTCAGTGGTCAAGGGCAGAGGCTTTGGAATCACACTCGGGTTCCATTCCTGAGATTAGCACTTCGGGAATGTGACCTTAGCCATGTGACCTTGGGCAAGCTACTTAGCCATTCAGAGCCTCAGTTTTCTCATCTCTAAAATGAGGATAAAAACAAGATCTATACCTCATGAAGCTTTTGCGAGGTTACAATGAGGAAATATATGCTATGCAAGGCACCCAAAGCTGGCGCTAACAAAACGGCAGCTATTATCATTATTCCCCTGCTCTCCTTCCTGAGTACCAAGAACCCTTAGGGACCTCCCAGCCCTTAAAAAACAAACCAGGGCTTTGGCAATTTGCAGTGAGTTAAGACTACAGCAAGCTTTGTCAGCTAACTCTGCTGTTCATCAGTCAGCCTCCATTCAGCACAGGCTGGTGGACTAGTTACGACTTAAATTCTTTTTTTTTTTGGAGACAGAGTCTTGCTCTGTCTCCCACGCTAGAGTACAATGGCACAATCTTGGCTCACTGCAACCTCCACCTCCCCGGTTCAAGCAATTCTCCTGCCTCAGTCTCCTGAGTAGCTGGGATTACAGGTGCCCGCCACCACGCCCGGATAATTTTGTATTTTTAGTAGAGGTAGGGTTTCACCATGTTAGCCAGGATGGTCTCAAACTCCTGACCTCAGGTGATCCACCTGCCTCGGCCTCCCAAAGTGCTGGGATTACAGGTGTGAGCCACTGCGCCCGGCCAGTTCATGACTTGAATCCTAAGATAACTGTTCCAATCTTCACTGCACACTGGAATCCCTGGGGAGTTGGGAAGCTCTCTGGCTCCTACCCCAGGGATTGCTACTGAATTGGTATGGAATGGCCTGGGCATCAGGCCTGTTAAAAGCTCCCCAGGTGACTCTAATGTATAGGAAGGCCAAGAGCCGCCAGGTTCAGACAGGGACACTGAAGTGAGCGTCTTTACAACCAAATGGAACTAAGACTCTTGCTGGGCACAGTGGCTCACGCCTGTCATCCCAGCACTTTGGGAGGCCGAGGCAGGCGGATCACCTGAAGTCGAGAGTTCGAGACCAGCCTGGCCAACATAGAGAAACCCCGTCTCTACTAAAAATATAAAAATTAGCCGGGTATGGTGACAGATGTCTGTAATCCCAGCTACTCGGGGGGCTGAGGCAGGAGAATCGCTTGAACCCGGGAGGCGGATGTTGCAGTGAGCTGAGATCACACCATTGCACTCCAGCCTGGGCGATAAGAGCGAAACTCCATCTCAAAAAAAAAAAAAAAATACTCTGAAGCAGCCTATGAAGCCATCAGCCAGGCGCGTGATCAATTCAGCCAGCACAGGGAAGGCTGCCCGGAAGAGGCAGGGCTTGTCCTCAGTCTTGGGGACTGTGGGATTCGCTGGGGAAGAGAAGACAAGACGGACGGAAAGGGCTTTGCTCTGATTGTGAACCACAGACAGGCAGGGGTGGGTGGGGGTCGGCCCCTGTCTCATTCACTCAGGACCCTCGGCCTGGCCTGTAGCAGCCACTGGGAGCACAGACAGCGCCACCCTCACCCCGAGGCCTGGAGCCCCTCATTAGCCCAGCAAAGCGGCAACTGGAGGCCGGGCAGAGGCTGTGGGGCAGCTCACTCCTGGGAGGAAGCTCACTCCTGGGGGACAGCTCGCTCCTGGGGGACAGCTCATTCCTGGGGACAGCTCGCTCCTGGGGGACAGCTCATTCCTGGGGGGCAGCTCGCTCCTGGGGGGCAGCTCGCTCCTGGGGGACAGCTCATTCCTGGGGGACAGCTCGCTCCTGGGGGGCAGCTCGCTCCTGGGGGACAGCTCATTCCTGGGGGACAGCTCGCTCCTGGGGGGCAGCTCGCTCCTGGGGGACAGCTCATTCCTGGGGGACAGCTCGCTCCTGGGGGGCAGCTCGCTCCTGGGGGACAGCTCATTCCTGGGGGACAGCTCGCTCCTGGGGGACAGCTCGCTCCTGGGGGGCAGCTCGCTCCTGGGGGACAGCTCATTCCTGGGGGACAGCTCACTCCTGGGGGGCAGCTCGCTCCTGGGGGACAGCTCATTCCTGGGGGACAGCTCGCTCCTGGGGGGCAGCTCGCTCCTGGGGGACAGCTCATTCCTGGGGGACAGCTCGCTCCTGGGGGGCAGCTCATTCCTGGGGGGCAGCTCGCTCCTGGGGGGCAGCTCGCTCCTGGGGGACAGCTCGCTCCTGGGGGACAGCTCATTCCTGGGGGACAGCTGCTGTTGCAGGAGTTGTTTGCTCCGGCTCTGCCTCCACTGCTGGGAACAGACTCGAGGCCCCACCATGGGCGGGTGTTATGGCCTCTCTGGTTGCCATGGAGATGAAATCCAATCATCCACCTCCAAGATCCTTGGAAGAGGGAGGCAGAGACCGTAGCCGCCTGGAGAAGTGGCCGCCTGGAGAAGCTCAGGGCTCCACAGCCTGAGACAAAGGAATCATAGTTCTTGGACATCAAGGGCAGAGGCTGAGGCCCAGGGTGTCAGGGTGGCCAGCAGCCCTGGGCAGAGAAGCGCATGTGGCTTCACCAGTCTCCAGCTCTTGGGGATGGATGGGACATGCTGAGTATTATCTGCGCAGTGTTTTACACGGTGAGCCCACGGCCAGGATCTCATTTCATCCCCACAGCCCAGGGAGGTTGTCAAAGTAGCTATGAATGGCCCCCTTTGACACGGGGGAAAACTGAGGCTTCTGAGTCTCATCCAAGGCCACCTGGCTGAGAAACAGCTGAGCCACAGATTAAAGCTACTCTTTGCACCAAGGCCATTGTTTCCTGCGATTTGACAAAATCCCCCCACCTTGGCAGAGGGAACTAAAATTCCTCATCTCTCTGTAGGAAAGACAGTTATGTGCCCACCGAACATAGAGGAATCATATTGCAGACGGGCCGTATAACCTTGCCATGATACGACGAAAGCTGACGGCATGTGTACGCAAGCAACAGCCACTCAACAAACATCTCCTAAGCTATCACACACCAGATGCAGGGGCGGGCACAGACTCCAGCACCCCCAGCTCCGTTACGAGTCGCCCATGGAAAGGCAACGGGATTCAACGAGGTGGGCATGGGGCCAGGAGGCAGATCTGGGTCCCGCGTCCAGACCTAATCTCTAGGTGCCGCCACTTCCTTATCTGTAAAATGGGCAAGACACAGCTGCCCTGCGCAGTTCACAGGGCTGCCCCTGTGGAGTGACAAGAGATACCAGATAAAAAGAGCATTTCACAAACAATAACGCGTTCAGTCAATCAGGCAAAAAAAAAAAAAGGGGCAGGGGCCAGGCTCAGTGGCTCACGCCTGCAATCCCAGCACTTTGGGAGGCTGAGGTGGGTGGATCACCTGAGGTCAGGAGTTCGAGACCAGCCTGGTCAACATGGTGAAGCCCCGTCTCTACTAAAAATACAAAAATTAGGGCTGGGTGCAGTGGCTTCTGCCTGTAATCCCAGCACTTTGGGAGGCCGGGGCGGGCAGATCACCTGAGGTCAGGAGTTTGAGACCAACATGGTGAAACCCTATCTCTGCTAAAAATACAAAAATTAGCTGGGTGTGTGGCGGGCCCCTGTAATTCCAGCTACTCGGGAGGCTGTGGCAGGAGAATCACTTGAACCCAGGAGGTGGAGGTTGCAGTAGGCCAGATGGTGCCACGGCACTCCAGCCTGGGTGACAGAGTGAGACTCTGTCTCAAAAAAAATAAATAAATAAAAATAAAGGAAAAAAAGAAAGAAAATAAATCCTCTACAAAGAAAGCAAGTCTGAGTTCGTTTGGGTTATCGGTATATTCTGTCTTCCCCGCGAGGTGGTGGCCCTCTTCTGCTCACTGCCTGTTATTTGTGGCGCCCAGGACAGGACTCACGCAGAGCCAATGCTCAGTAACTGCTGGCTGAGTGATACGATCTCCTAATAATCCTCCTCATCTCTTCCCATAACAACCAATTCAATTATTTAGGGTCTGGGGGCCAGGAAGTCCTTCTGACAAATCCCATAGGAGTTCTAACCCTTATTAGAGTTAACAGCTTCAGCCTACTTCCTGCTTCCCCTCCGAACCTCCTCAAGAATTGATAACAAGTAATAATCCTGGGCTGATTTGATTTAAGGCTCTGCTCTTCCTCCTGTCTTTCCCTGTGGGAAATGCCACTCAGCCCCAGAGCTGCAGAAGGCGGGTGGCCAGGAGGCGATGACCTGGGAGGACCTTTCAATCCAACGGTGCTCACCACCTGCCTGGGATGGCCTCCTCGGAGCCCCCCTCCCATCTATGGCTTTGTAAGTCCTTAGGGTATTTATGAAAAATTAAATGACAATCTAGTGCTGAGAAGTAGGAAGAGGCAATTCAGAGAACAGACAAGTAATGCCAGGTCCAGAGAGGCCAGCAAGACTCTCAAAGCAGCCCTGCAGGGTGGCAGCAGCCAGGACCAGGATGCACGACCCCTGCCTTCCACCCCAGGGTGCCCTTCAATCCCAGAGCCACGCAGCTCCGGGCTCCTGCCCCTGTCCGCAGAAGTCGCCCAAGGCGTCCACTTGCACCCCTTCACACATACACCTGCAGAAGCAGCCGCACCTCTGCCCAGTGCTGCTGGGTGGCCACGTTCACTGGCCTTCGGCTCAAAATGCTGGCTCTCCACCCAGAGCCTTCCTGGGCCTTAAACATAATTCTACTGTTGAACTGGGCTGTCACAGAGTGCCTCAAAAGTCACCTCCTTCTCCCCACTCCCAGCTCCAGAGCACCGGTGACTGTGACTTCCACTTCCAATGTCTTGTGTCATTCAAGGAGGGCAGGTAAGAGGACGTGCCCAGGTTAGCCTCTTCCTTGGACATTCGACGTCACCATTCCTCCAGAGTGGTGCAAAGCTAGGTGTGCGCGGAGCTGGGGAAGGGCAAAAGCCCAGCCAGCTTGTCTCTGCTTGTTTCTATCCACGCAGGCACATGGAGACACACACACACACACACACACACACACACACACACATCACATCCTTGTGGCCCCACCACCTCTGGCCCCCACACTCCATTCAGCCCCCGGCCTCTCTGCTGCCATAAGCACCCTCCTACCAGCAAGCACAGCCATCACTTGGAGGCTGTGGTCCTGAGCTCTGGCTTCCCCAAAGGTGAAACGGAATGATAGGATTGTTGTGGGGATTCCATGAGATGACGTCTGTAAACAGCTCAGCACAGTGCGGGGCACATGAAGATGACCATGATTCTGCCACTTCCCCTAGAAGTCAGTTACACCCAAGTCCCTTCAGTGCCCAGACACCTGCCACCATGCCACCACTGCCACATGACACCACTGCCACCACTGCCACATGCCACCACTGCCACATGCCACCACTGCCACCAGGCCACCACTGCCACACGACACCACTGCCACCATGCCACCACTGCCACTACTGCCACCATTGCCACACGACACCACTGCCACCACTGCCACATGACACCACTGCCACCAGGCCACCACTGCCACCATGCCACCACTGCCACCAGGCCACCACTGCCACACGACACCACTGCCACCAGGCCACCACTGCCACCACTGCCACCATTGCTACATGACACCACTGCCGCCACTGCCACCACTGCCACCATGACACCACTGCCCTGGCCACAGAGCAGGCTCAAGGGCCTTCATCCTTCACATAAGCCACCTGCCACTATGTGGTCAACACGACCAGTGCCCAGCAATATCCCCATCCTCCTGTCTTTCTGGGCACATGGAAGGCCGTACTGTCTGGCCACTTGGCAGTCCCTGGGCAGGGCCAGGTGCTCAGTCCTGGCTAACAAACTGTAAGTGGACATGACAAGTATCATTTCACGGCTGAACAGTGAAAAATTACACACAGCTCTTTCTCCCTTTCTCCTCCCTCTGTGACCCTTGGAGGCCACATATTCCAAATGGTGCAGTCTCCATCAGGCTGGGTCCCGGCATGACCACGGGGAGCAGAGCCCCCCGTCTACCAGGACCACTGTGAGCAAGCAGCAGCTTGCTTGTGTTAAGTGATGAGGATTTCAGCAGTAATTTGTGGGGGGTTTTGGTTGTTTTTTTTTTTTTTGACACAGAGTCTCACTCTGTCGCCCAGCCTGGAGTGCAGTGGCACAATCTTGGCTCACTGCAACCTCTGCCTCCTGAGTTCAAGTGAGTCTCCTGCCTCAGCCTCCTGAGTAGCTGGGATTACAGTCACCCACTACCACACTCAGCTAATTTTTATATTTTTAGTAGAGATGGGATTTCCCAATGTTGGCCAGGCTGGTCTCAAACTCCTGACCTCAGGTGACCCACCCGCCTCAGCCTCCCAAAGTGCCGGGATTAGTGTGAGCTACCACGCCCGGCCTTCAGCATTAATTTGGTTCTACGGCATGACCGGCTACCCTAACACCCTGCTCCCACTCAGCCCTTCCATGTATGCTCAGAAGGCCAACCCCAGCCTCACGGAAGCTCCACACACACTTCCCAACACAGCACCTGACAGTCCTTTCTCCTAACCCCACCCACGCCAGCCTCATGGCAAGCTGCAGCCGCCCTTTTCCCATTCAGGAGAGAAGCAGAAACCCAGCACCCTCTTCTGGGGAAAGACGGGAAAGCAAGGTGGAATGTCTTCCAGCAAGTAAGTAAGTGCCAGGAGCACCAACGGCTTAGTGTTGGGTAGAAGCTGGCACCTGAGGGCCACGCCTTCCCAGCCAGCATGATGGCCCCAGGCTGGTCAATGACCCACCCACTCTCCCCAGGCTGGTCAATGGGCCCACCCCACGGTAAGCTTCAAGGATGGCCTGCTTGCTGCTGATGAGTGAAGTAAGCCCAAAGGTTGTCGGGGAAATACCCGCATTCCTAAGAGCATTATTGACACTTGCCAAAAAACAGAAACACCTCAAGTGTCTATGGGTGGATGAATGGATACACAAAACGCGGCCTTTACATAAAACGGATATTATTCGGCTTATATTCCGACACAGGCCAATTCTGACATCGATGAACCTTGGGGGCATTAGGCTACGTGAAAGAAGCTGGTCACAGAAAGGCAAATACCACATGATTCCACTCGGATGAGGTGCTTAGAGCAGTTAGATTCATCAAGTCAGAAAGTAGGAGGGTGGTGGCCAGGAGCTGGGGGCTGGAGAAACGGGGAGCTGTTGTTCAATACAGGGGTCCCCAGCCCCCCCGGGCATGGACCGGCACCAGTCCGTGGCCTGTTGGGAACCAGGATGCACAGCCGGAGGTGAGTGGTGGGTGAGCAAGCGTCACCCCCTGAACCCCACTTCCCATCCGAGCAGCAGCGGCATTAGGTTCTCGTAGGAGCGTGAGCCCTGTCGTGATCTGCGCGTGCGAGGGATCGCAGTTCCATCCCGAAAGCGCTCCCCACCCTTCCCCGGTCCGTGGAAAAAGTGTCTTCCACGAAGCCGGTCCCTGGTGCGCTGGTTTCACAGATGCGGAGTCTCAGTTTAGCCAGGTGAGAGTTCCGGAGATGACGGTGCTGATGGCCGCACCAGAGTGTGAACGTGCCTCGGGCCACTGATGCGTACACTGGATGGAAAATTTTAGGCATGTGTATTTTGCCATGATTTTCTTTTGTTTTTTGTTTTTGTTTTTGTTTTTTTTGAGACAGAGTCTCACTCTGTCACCCAGGCTGGAGTGCAGTGGCGCCATCTCGGCTCACTGCAAGCTCCGCCTCCTGGGTTCACGCCATTCTCCTGCCTCAGCCTCCCAAGTAGCTGGGACGACAGGTGCCTGCCACCATGCCTGGCTAAATTTTTTTGTATTTTTAGTAGAGACGGGGTTTCACCGTGTTAGCCGGGATGGTCTCGATCTCCTGACCTCGTGGTCCACCCACCTCGGCCTCCCAAAGTGCTGGGATTACAGGCGTGAGCTACCTAGCGCCCGGCCTATTTTGCCATAATTTAAAAAAATAGAATAAAATCTAAATTTAAAAAAAAAGTAGACAGGAAAGGAGTAATACCAGGGACAGAGACCCCCCCATGGGTATCGACAGGAGGCCAGGGGGCTGAACCAGGCCTGGAGCCCACCCAGCTTCTGAAGAGGGGTTGGGAGTCACCTTCTGAATTACAAAGGAAGATCCCACCTCCAGAATTCATTTCTGGTTTTAGTTTTTTTTTTTTTTTTTGAGACAGAATCTCACTCTGTCACCCAGGCTGGAGTGCGGTGGTGTGATCTCAGCAACTTCCACCTCCCGGGTTCAAGAGATTCTCCTGTCTCAGCCTCCCGAGTAGGTGGGATTACAGGCATGCACCACCACACCCAGCTAATTTTTGTATTTTTAGTAGAGATGGGGTTTCACCATGTTGGCCAGCTGGTCTCGAACTCCTGACCTCAGGTGATCTACCCACCTTAGCCTCTCAAAGTGCTGGGGTTACAGGCGTGAGGCACTGTGCCCGGCCCAGAGCTCATTTCTGTTTTGCCGCCAACTCCCTGGCACAAGACGAGCTCAGCTCGGCCATAGGTAGGGGTTGCCGGGCACCTGTCAGCTCCAAATGCCAGGAGCCAGGCTCTCCGAATTCCACTCCCAGTTTTAGCTGTGTGTCCTGGGGCAAGTTGCTTCATCTCTCTGTGCTTTAGTGTCCTCATTTGTCAAATGAAGATAATAACATAACAACATCATCCCATGCAGCTTTTGTGACAGTTGAATGAGTTAGTCCAGGCGAAGTTCTAAGAACAGGGCCTGGCACGTGGTATAACGTTAGTGGCTGTTATTGTCGTCACTGACGTTGTCACTGCTGTTGTCCCTGTTGTTATGATTTCTCCCCATAGTCCCGGCCTGGGAGAGACACCGAGAGGAAGGCCAGCTTGCCCGGTGTCTTCTCAAGGGCTGACACACTTCTCAAAGCGCTGAGATTACAGACGTGAGCCACCGCGCCCGGCCTGTGTCAGAATTTTTTTTGTTACCCACCTGACAAAGCTCTTCATCTTGCTAAAGATAACAGAGCACTTGGCCAAGCCAGCGCGATGTCTGCACTCAGATCTCCTCTCTCATCTTTTGCCCACAATGGGAAAGGAGGTAAGAAGTCTGTGTTCCGGGTGTGCTGAGCACTTGCTGTGTGCTGGGAGTTGCGGTAGACACTGTCCTGTATGATTCCACTCTGAAGAGGTGCTCAGAGCAGTCAGATTCGTCCAGACACAAAGAGGAGGGTGGTGGCCAGGAGCTGCAAGCAGCGGCACACGTGTGGGCAATACACAGGTTGCCCAAGCGCCGAGAGAGGCCCAGGAGGACGGGCCCCGGGCATGGCAAGCGCACTGCCCCCTCTCACTCCTCCGGCGGCCGCCGTCCACTCCCAGTCCTAGATCTGAGCTCCTTCCTGGGAGTCCAGGGCCCTTCACAAGTTTGGGTGAACACTCCTGGTACACGGTCTGTGGTAACATCCTGCACGGCTCTAAACCAGAGGCAACAGGGCACCCCACCCACTGGGAACCACGCGAGCAGGGAGGGACGAAGGGAGGAGCATCACGCACACAGACGCCGGACTCCCTAGGTTCTGCAAACCCAGCCATCAACACACAGAGGCCCACGAGCCCATTCCTGAGCCTCCCTCCCTTGCTGAGCTACTGGTGCGCGTATGTGTGCATATATATACACATGTGCACACACACACTCCTGGGGGTGAGGAGGTCACGTATGCAACTTGCTGTCATCTTTCTAAAAGGTAAGAATGGAGGCAGGAGAACATTTGATTCAGAGCTCATGCTCTGCAGCCAGACTGACTGGGTCTGAATCACAGGCTCCACCCCTTACCAGCTGTGTGACCTTGGGCAAGTCACATAACCTCTCTGTGCCTCTGTTTTACCTTCAACATGGAGTAACAGTAGCACCCAAGTTCACAGGGTTTCTGTGAGGATGAAACGAGTAAACATCTAAAGCACACCGAAGAGAGGATTAGTTCCTATTACCACACCTCAGAAGCTCAGCAAGTCAGATCTCATGACTGCCAGGCTCTCACAGAGGCCCTGGTTCCCCTCTGGCTCTACGTCTTATTTCCCTGGACCAGTTCCCTAAAGCCCTGTCTGCTGAGAACTCATCTGACAATTCATCCTAATCCCTAGAGGGCCCCAAGCAAAAATCCCAAGCTCAGTTCCTGCACCCAGGCTAGGCTTGGTCAGTGTCCAGCCCTGCCCTCCCCAACTGCTTCCTGGGCGTGACACCCTCAACGCCCCCACCTCTCTCATTCTGCCATTTAGAAACCACAAAGGGCCTCGGTCAGCCACTCCCCACCTCAAAGCCGCGTTCTTCCCTGCGGAGAGATTGTCATGGTTTTTCCAGCAGGGGATGGAGAAGTGTGTTTCTTCACAGGACATCCTGAGAATGCCTGATTCTGGGGATGGCTGACATCCTACAGAGCCCTGGACAGGAAGCCCAAGGATTTAGGTTGAACCCTTTTTGGGCAGGTCACTTCAACTCTCTGGCTGCCCGATCCGGCTCTTCTGCAAAACAGGAACATCACTGCCTCCTCCCCAAGTGAGGGAGAGGATACAATAGAAAGACAGGACATCCATCCCGGCTAACACGAGGAAACTCCGTCTCTACTAAAAATACAAAAAAGTTAGCCGGGCGTGGTGATGAGCGCCTGTAGTCCCAGCACTTTGAGAGGCCGAAGCAGGTGGATCACGAGGTCAGGAGATCGAGACCATCCTGGCTAACACGGGGAAACCCCGCCTCTACTAAAAATACAAAAAAGTTAGCCAGGCGTGGTGGTGAGCACCTGTAGTCCCAGCACTTTGGGAGGCCAAAGCAGGTGGATCACGAGGTCAGGAAATCGAGACCATCCTGGTTAACACGGGGAAACCCCGTCTCTACTAAAAATACAAAAAAGTTAGCTAGGTGTGGTGGCAGGTGCCTGTAGTCCCATCTACTCGGGAGGCTGAGGCAGGAGAATGGCGTGAACCTAGAGCTTGCAGTGAGCCGAGATCGCGCCACTGCGCTCCAGCCTGGGCTACAGAGCGAGACTCTGTCTCAAAAAAAAAAAAAAAAAGACAGGACAGGCTGGGCTGGTGGCTGATGCCTGTAATCCCAGCACTTTGGGAGGCTGAGGTGGGTGGATCACCTGAGGTCAGGAGTTTGAGACCAGCCTGGTCAACATGGGGAAACCCCATCTCTACTAAAAATACAAAAAATTAGCCGGGCGTGGTGGTGCGTGCCTGTAATCTCAGCTACTCGGGAGGCTGAAGCAGAAGAATCACTTGAGTCCAGGAGGTGGAAGTTACAGTGAGCCGAGATCGCGCCACTGCACTCCAGCCTGGAGAACAAGAGTGAAACTCTGTCTCAAAAAAAAAAAAAGACAGGACAGTGTCTACTACAACTCCCGGCACACAACAAGTGCTCAGCACACCTGGAACACAGACTTTTTACCTCCTTTCCCGTTGTAGGCAAAAGATGAGAGAGGAGATCTGAACCCAGGCATTGCACTGGCTTGGCCAAGCGCTCTGTTATCTTTAGCAAGATGATGAGCTTTGTCACGTGGTTAACAAAAAAAATTCTGACACAGGCCGGGCGCGGTGGGTCATGCCTGTAATCCCAGCACTTTGGGAGGCCAAGGTGGGTGGATCACATGAGGTCAGGAGTTTGAGACCAGCCTGGCCAACACAGTGAAACCTGTCTCTACTGACAATACAAAATTAGCCAGGCATGGTGGTGCACGCCTGTAGTCCCAGCTACTTGGGCTGAGGCAGGAGAATCGCCTGAACCAATGAGCCGAGATTGCACCATTGCACTCCAGCCTGAGCAACAAGAGTGAAACTCCGTTAAAAAAAAAATTTTTGACACAGCCTGGGCAGGTTTAATCAGCTGTGATCCAGAGCCGCCCTCTGTTCTGGGAGATGGGGACCAGTCTGGACCCCTTTCTTGCCCCATCATCAGGTGCACTTGGTCAAATCCCCACCATACCCCTTCCCCCACAACTAGGCAGAAGGACCAAGGAAGGCCCCCTGACACTACATGGGCCTGGCGTGGCCCCCTGTGTCCCTCAGTCATACCCCCCAGCCTGGCCAATGCCCAGATGGCTTTTGGGACAGTGCCCATCATGCCCCCCAGCAGATGGCACACCTGCGGGAGGGCTGGGGATCCAGGCACACCTGCGGGAGGGCTGGGGGTCCAGGCACACCTGCGGGAGGGCTGGGGGTCCAGGCACACCTGCGGGAGGGCTGGGGGTCCAGGCACACCTACGGGAGGGCTGGGGGTCCAGGCACACCTGCGGGGAGGGCTGGGGACCCAGGCACACCTGCGGGAGGGCTGGGGGTCCAGGCACACCTGCGGGAGGGCTGGGGACCCAGGCACACCTGCGGGAGGGCTGGGGGTCCAGGCACACCTACGGGAGGGCTGGGGACCCAGGCACACCTGCGGGAGGGCTGGGGGTCCAGGCACACCTGCGGGAGGGCTGGGGGTCCAGGCACACCTACGGGAGGGCTGGGGGTCCAGGCACACCTGCGGGAGGGCTGGGGGTCCAGGCACACCTGCGGGAGGGCTGGGGGTCCAGGCACACCTACGGGAGGGCTGGGTCCAGGTCTACCGAACCTGTCAGCCTGTCACACGCATCACATGGTGAGAAAACCTCGCCCGGCAACCATCTCATCCTTCTCACTGGTTTGAAGCCTGGTGGTCACCATAGCAACAGGCTCCCGCTCCAGCCTGCCAGGCGGGGCTGATGCAATTCTCGGCAGCGAGCAGCTCCAACTCAGCTCACATGGCTCTGCTCCCACTCGGGGGCGGGCGCGTGGGAGGACCAACGAAGAGGGAGGAGGTGGGCACGCAGCCCACAGAAATCTCAGCTTCCCCCAGTTCTGCTCCGAGGACTGGGTCTAAGGGACGAGGGCCAGGAACTGAGCAGCGGGTTCACCTCCCAGGTCCTTCATGATCCTGGTGTCCCTGCCGCGGCTGCCACTTCTGGGAGATTCATCTCTAAGGCCTCAGGGGACCTGGGGGATCGGGAGACAGGCTGTACCATGGCGTCTCCACCACCACACGGTCCCCTCCCCGCCTGCACCCCACAAGCTGGGCACCCCCACTTCCCGGGGCCCACGGGCAGCCCGGACCTTCAGAATTCAACAGGTGCAGCTTACAGTTCCCGTCCCGTGGTGCTGCCTGCCCTGGTTGCATTAAAGTGCTCATAAAGCCCAGAATCCTCCTGCAAACCAAAATATCTCCATGGTGCCGGCCAGCCCCTTCCTCCCAGCTTTCCATCCCACTCCACAAGGGTGTCTGGCTGCCCTGGGGAGTGTTACCTCCTCTGCACGGAAGGCACACTAGCTGAGAGCCCGTTCAAGCATCCACATCCCCCAATTTCATGGAACGAGCACACAGAAAGGATGGGGGTCACCTCGTCCTGCCTGCCCGCCCACCCCCCACACACTGCGGACACAGGGAAGGAAGCCACAGGACAAGAGCTTGGCAATGCCGTGTCCTCAGGGCTCCGGCGCCTACCCATGGATGTAGTGCTCGCCCTCCCAAGGCCGGTGTCCTGGTGACGATGCCACTAGTGCCAAGAATGCTTCCCTCCTGCAGGCCCCGCTCCCTTCCCCATTCCAGCAGCCACTTCCCACCCTGCATTTGTTCCCTCCTACCTGGCCCTCACCAAGGCATCCACCCAATCCTGGCGGGGCCTCAGCACAAACAGGGCCTGCTCTGGGACCGTGCCTCCTGCCAGGACGCTGTGCCAGGAGGAGGGATCTGCAGATCCCTTCCCGGGCGCCCTGGGGGCCAGCCAGTCACACTGGGCCCTCTCTGTGGTCGCCTCGATGCCTGTGGGAAGTGATTAGCTCTGAGGCCACTTGAGAGATGGTGTTCAGCTCTGGGATGTCCCAGCAATGTGTACTATGGGAGCCTCCAGGATGACTGGAGCAGATGGGCAAAGAAGGTAAACTGTCAGGCTGGGGGCATCTTTCCAGACACACAGATCCACGGAGTCACGTTGAGTGAGTCCAGAAAGGAACCCACATATCTATGGTCGACGGATTGTCAACAAGGGCACCAAGACCCTTCATGGGGAAAGAAGAATCTTTTCACCAAATGGTGCTGGGACAACCAGATTGCCACATGTAAAAGTTGAACTTTTACTTTCTACCATATTCAAAAAATAACTCTAAATGGATCAAAGACCTAAATGTAACAGCTAAAGCTAAACAACATGTAGAAGAAAACCTGGGGGTAGATCTTCATGGTCTTGGACTTGGCAAAGGATTCTTACATACGACACCAGAAGCACAAGCAACAGAGAGCACGGGGGAACCGCACGTCATCAATGAACACTTCTTTGCTTCAAAGGACCCCATCAAGAAAGTGAAAAGACAATGTGCAGAGGGGAAGAAAACATATCTAGACTATATTTTAAAAATCTTACAACTCAACGATAAAAAGACATCTAGGCCGGCCGCAGTGGCTCACACCTGCAATCCCAGCACTTTGGGAGGCCGAGGCGGGCAGATCACAAGGTCAGGAGTTTGAGACCAGCCTAACCAACATAGTAAAACCCTGTCTCTACTAAAACTACAAAAATTAGCCAGGCATGGTGGCAGGTGCCTGTAATCCCAGCTACTCGGGAGGCTGAGGCAGGAAAATCCAGGAGGCGGAGGTTGCAGTGAGCCGAGATTGCGCCATTGCACTCCAGCCTGGGCAAAAGAGCGAAATTCCGTCTCAAAAAAAAAAAAAAAAAAAAGGATAGGGTGGCAGGTAGGTGGGTGACCAGATCCTGCTGGCCATCGAGGGACAGGAGAGGTGCTCACCGTGGAGCACAGTGTCCTGGTACCCAGGTGGCCCCAGGTTCAACTCCAACACTGTGATCCTCAATGGGGGTGCTGTGGGGACCCAAATTCAGACACCCATGCCCACCAGCCTACACCAGAGGGCAGACGGGTATCTAAGGGGCACATGCTGTGGGGAAGAGCCTAGGCCTCCGGCTGCAGGGGGCTCATGAGGAGCCATTCTGAGGACTGAGCCTTTGTTGAGAGGGAACCTGGGGCCAGGTGGCTGCTCCCTTCACATGGGCGACAGTGTCCAGTGAGAAAATAAACCTCTTTTCATGTGAAGAAAAAAAAAAGGCCTCTCCTGAGTTCCTGGCTGGGTAGCCGGGTAGACGGCAGAGCTAAATGCTGTGGTGGCTCACGCCTGCAATGCCAGCACTTCGGGAGGCCGAGGTGGAAGGATCACCTGACGCCAGGAGTTCAAGACCAGCCTGGCCAACGTGGTGAAAACTCGTCTCTACTAAAAATACAAAAATTAGCCAGACGTGGTGGCGCACACCTACAATCCCAGCTACTTGGGAGGTTGAGGCAGGAGAATCACCTGAACCCGGGAGGCGGAGGTTGCAGTGAGTGGAGATCGTGCCACTGCACTCCAGCCTGGGTGACAGAGAGAGACTCTGTCTCAAAAAGAAAAAAAAAAAGCTTTATGTGCATTATCTTATGTAATCCTCTTAACAATTACTTGGTGAATAGTGAGTTCCACTACTATCCCCATTTCATAGAGGAGTAAACTGAGGCACAGGGAGATGGACTAACTTGCTCATAGTCACGTAGTTACTTAATGGTGAGGCTGGGATCTGAATACAGGCAGCCTGAGAAGTGGCTCTTCCGTCCACCTCCAACCTCCTTTTAGCCGAGGGTTTTGAGCTCATTTCAACACAGCCACTGTGTCCAGGGATACCAGCAAAGAATTAGATCAATGTCAGGCTCTGACGCACAGGCAGGCTCAGTAATAACAACAGTCCACACACACATACGATAAGTTAACTCACCGCAGCCTCACACCGCGCCAGGAGGCAGGCACTAATATTATCTCAATTTTACGGATGAGGAAACCGAAGCTCAGATAGGTCAGATGACTGGCCCAAGGTCACACAGCTGCTGAGTGGCAAAGCTTGGAACCCGGGCAGTCTGGTCTCAGACACTACCCTCTCTTGCTACTAAGTCAGTCGTGCTACAGCGCACATTACTTTTTTTTTTTTTTTTTTTGAGATGAAGTCTCACTCTGTCGCCCAGGCTGGAGTGCAAAGGTGCAACCTTAGCTCACTGCAACCTCCACCTCCCGGGTTCAAGTAATTCTCCTGCCTCAGCCTCCCAAATAGCTGGGATTACAGGTGTGCGCCACCACGCCCGGCTAATTTTTATATTTTTAATAGAGACAGGGTCTCACCATGTTGGCCAGGCTGGTCTCGAACTCCTGACCTCATGTGATCTGCCTGCCTCGGCCTCCCAAAGTGCTGGGATTACAGGCGTGAGCCACCGCGCCCGACCTCAGTGCACACAGTTCTAACATGCCTAGGGGGCTGGTCCCTCAGGCCACAGGCCATGAGAAGCAGCAACTACAAGGGAAGAGCCGCTGCTGGAACACGCCCAGCGGAACAGGGGGAAGCCAACAATCCCGGCAGATGAAGGAAAGGAACCGGCAGGCACACCGCTCTCACGCCAATGCGTGCGGACAGCCTGGTGGGATCAGCAGGACCATGACCTGAGCCTGCCTGCCAGGCACAGAACCTCAGGCGCACCCAGGCAGACCCACGATGGGGTGCACTCAGCCCCGTATCATTCATGCTGCAGGTCAGCCTAGGAAGGGATCGTGCAGTTTGGTAGGTCACCTTCTAGAATGGATTGAAAAGGATTATCTCGCCTAATAAGGGCAGGTATTACTTTATGAGGCTCATTTCAAGCGTGCATGGGTATATGTGTGTGTGCAGATGTACGTATGTGTGTCGCGTTGCAGCATGAAATGATTTTCCACTATGGATTCTCTTCCAACAGGTGGAAGGAGCGTGACCACCCCTGAGTAAGCCGCCATTTATTCCTGCAATGGAATTCCAGGCAGCTTTGACGGTGCACAGTTTAGAGCTACAGGCAGGAGCGAAGATGAACCTAAAAACATAAATTTAACCAGAAAAGGGCAGCTCACAGGAACATGCTTACAATGTAATTCTTCTTCTTTTTATTCTTTTTTTAAATTTGTATTTATTTATTTTTTTTAAAGTAGAGATGGAGTTTCGCCATGTTGCCCAGGCTGGTCTCAAACTCCTGGACTCAGGCAATCCAGCCGCCTCGGCCTCCCAGACTGCTGGGATTACAGGCGTGAACCACCGCGCCCAGCCGTCTCGTTAGTCTTTAGTAAACCAAACCCAGACATTGTATGTGCTGTTTTGCATATTGCTACATTTCACATATAACACAGAAAATGGCTGGGTGCGGTGGCTCACACCTGTAATCCCAGCACTTTGGGAGGCCGAGACAGGCAGATCGCCTGAGGTCAGGAGTTCAAGACCAGCTTGGCCAACATGATGAAACCTTGTCTGTACTAAAAATACAAAAATTAGCCAGGCGTGATGGTGGGCACCTGTAGTCCCAGCTACTCGGGAGGCTGAGGTAGGAGAATTGCTTGAACCTGGGAGTTGGAAGTTGCAATGAGCCAAGACCGTGCCACTGCACTCCAGCCTGGGTGACAGAGCAAGACTCTGTCTTAAAAAAAAAAAAGGAATCAAAAGTGCGTAGGGCTAGTCCAACCCTTACATTTCACAGCTGAGGACACAGAGGGCTGGCATGGGAGTGGCGGAGGTAGAATAAAAACCCAGATCTCCTGCCTCCCAGTGCAGCCAAAGCCACCGTTGTAACCACAGCCTAGGATTACCCAGAGAAGGCTGAAGCCTGTTCAGACTACAGGGAGCCTGTTTGGGACTCACAGTCCTCTGGCGATGAGCAGAGACTCTTCATGCTTTCGTGCCTTGGACCCACAGCAGCCTGGTGAAGCCAAGGGACCTTTCTCTGAAGAATGTTTTGAAATGCGTAAAACTAAACTATGCAGGATGACAAAGGAAACCAACTATATTAAACTACTGTCTTAGTCATGGAACTCTCAGGAGTCCAAGAGAAGTAGGAATGCAGTACTCATACACAAGAGAAGAATGCGGTACTCACATACAGGAGAAGTAAGAATGCGGTACTCACACACGGGAGAAGTAGGAATGCGGTACTCACACACGGGAGAGGTAAGAATGCGGTACTCACACACAAGGGAAGTAAGAATGCAGTACTCACGCACAAGGGAAGTATGCGGTACTCACACACAGGAGAAGTAAGAATGCGGTACTCACACACGGGAGAAGTAGGAATGCGGTACTCACACACGGGAGAGGTAAGAATGCGGTACTCACACACAAGGGAAGTAAGAATGCAGTACTCACGCACAAGGGAAGTATGCGGTACTCACACACAGGAGAAGTAGGAATGCGGTACTCACACACGGGAGAAGTAGGAATGCGGTACTCACACACGGGAGAAGTAAGAATGCGGTACTCACACACATGAGAAGTAAGAATGCGGTACTCACGCACAAGGGAAGTATGCGGTACTCACACACAGGAGAAGTAAGAATGCGGTACTCACACACAGGAGAAGCAGGAATGCGGTACTCACGCACAAGGGAAGTATGCGGTACTCACACACAGGAGAAGTAGGAACGCAGTACTCACACACAGGAAGCACTCAGTAAAAGCCAGTGACACTTACGACCATTAATCTTCAGAATCCCTTCCACGTCCTTGGTCGTGGGTCCACGATGCTGAGGAGGGAGGCCCAGGGACCTGTGCCTTTGAGTCAGACCTGTGGGAGCCCCTCCAGGGCCTGATCTCGGCGAGGGATGAGGGATGCTGGCCCTGAACTGCAGGCCTCACACGTGACGCTGCCGCCGCTTGGGGAGGTGCCTTCTGGAGGGAACAGGTCCCTTGGGGCTGAGAGGAGAGGGACCCACAGCAGGCCCTGCCTGGAGACAGGGAGGTAGGGCGCAGGAGGAAACACTTACACCAATAGGAGCAGAGCCCTGGGGTCTAGGGCCGCTGTACCTCTCCTCTCTGGTACAAGGTTCAAGAATTGCTTGAACCCAGGAGGTGGAGGCTGCAGTGAGCTGAGATTACACCACTGCACTCCAGCCTAGGCGACAGAGCAAGACTCTGTCTCAAAAACAAAAAACAATAACAAAAAAAAACCACACACACACACACACACACACACAAAAGGACTAACACAGCCTCTTATGGGCCAGGCACTCACACATTATTTAAGCAAAGTTCATGAAATGTCAGCTCTGCAACTGTACAGTCAGTAGGAATTACACCCCAAATTCAGATGAGGAAACAGGCTCAAAGATGTAACAGCTTCATGCAACCAGCATTGACACCTACGTCTCTCTGACTCTAAGGAGAACTGAATCCCAGTGAATGTCCGTTCATTCATTTTTCATTCATTCATTCACTCACCAAACACTTCTCATGGTTCAGGCACTGTTCCAGGTGCCAGGGGTACGACGGAGCAGCAAACAGACCAAATGTCTGCCCTGTGGAGCTGAGTTCACACGACAGCCAGACGCCGAGCGCGTACGAGGCTCTGGGGAGGGAGGCGGCGCAGATGACTCAGCCAGGGCCACCCCCGAGGAGCTCACATTCAGGTTAATGGAGGTGTTGCCATTCTCTGTTGAAGAAGTGGGGGAGGACAGACGTGGCGCATCTGAGAACCTATTCTACCGTGAATTATTAACACTTTTCACAGAGGCCACGCTCCACAAAGGGAACTTCAGCGATACGGAAATCTCCCAAGGTGGGACGCCCGTGCGGTGGAGGCAACGTCACTCCATCGAGCCTTGCTCTCTGGCCCCGCCACCTGTACGAGTGCTGCAGACGGTGCCTTCTGAGGGAAGCGGGCAGGTGTCGCTGGACCGCCCTGCCTGCTAAATATCTATGTGGATTCCCGTTCCAAGGACACCATCCCTTCTCAGGGATACAAGGCTGGGGTGTCTGAGTCTCATCTCCTTCCCAGCACCTATCCTGGGAAGGTTTTGTCGGAAATCCCCGTCACCCACAAGTCCAGTCTTTTTTTTTTTTCTGAGTCTCATCTCCTTCCCAGCACCTATCCTGGGAAGGTTTTGTTGGAAATCCCCGTCACCCACAAGTCCAGTCTTTTTTTTTTTTAAGACAAGGTCTCATTCCTTTGCCCAGGCCAGAGTGCAGAATGTGATCACAGCTCACTGTAAGCTCAAACTCCTGGGCTCACATGATCCTCCCACCTCAGCCTCCCAAGTAGCTTAGACTCTAGGGGCATTCCACCACACCTGGCTAATTTTTTAAAATTTTTTTTGTAGAGACAGGGTCTTGATATGTTGCCCGGACTGGTCTTGAACTCTTAGTCTCGAGCAATCCTCCCATCTCTGCCTCCCAAAGTGCTAGGATAACAGGTGTGAGCCACCGTGCCCGGTCAAAGTCACTATTTTTTTTTTTTTTTTTGAGATGAGGTCTCACTCTGTAGCCCAGGCTGGAGTGCACTGGCATGATCTTGGCTCATTGCAATCTCCGCCTCCAGGGTTCAAACAATTCTCCTGCCTCAACTTCTCTAGTAGCTAGGATTACAGGCGTGTACCACCACACCCAGCTAATTTTTGTATTTTTAGTAGAGACAGGGTTTCACCATGTTGGCCAGGCTGGTCTCAAACTCCTGACCTCAGGTGATCCACCCGCCTCGACCTCCCACAGTGCTGGGATGACAGGTGTGAGCCACAGCGCCCGGCCAGAAGTCACTCCTTTTACAGCCGGGCCGAAGGCACCTGTTAGGTCCTCTCCCACCCGCTACACCACTAGCTAATGGTAATCATAGCACCCATTCCCCTGGGAGCCCCAAACCAGCCCGGGAGATGCATTTCACTGCGGAGGCTCATTAAGTGACTCTCCCAGTGCTGCACGGACTTTACATGGGGACGCTGGGTTCGAATCCAGGCTCTGCAATGTTGCAATTTCTCTTTCCTTTGCCGACACATCCTCCAGAGGTTAGAGACTCCCAGCAGAACTGAGGATGTGAAAAGACTCAGTTCGTGGTGAGGACCCAGTGAGTGTTTATCAACAGCAACAATTATCCCTTACTCTGGCAGAGAACAGCGCCGTGAACACACGTCGCCAGCATCCAGCTTCTCAGCTGATTTTTACAACAGCCCCAGGACATACGTGGGACAGGCGTTTATCACCCTCACTTTGCAGACAGGAGAGACTCGGCAAGAACAGCTGCACCTAGACACAGCCTGGTTTCCTGGCGTGGGCCCCTCCGGATCCCCTCTCCCTGCTTCTCCATCCTCTCTTCCACCCCAGCAGGAGATGAGAGGAAGACAAGGGCATGAGGCTGGGATGTGGTACCCCCAGCTCCCCACTGTGGGCCACCCGGGCTGTGCACGCTCCTGCCCAGAAGCCCTCACCACATGGCCTCTGCCTCCAGGTCTAGGACACAGACCCTGCCCTCACCCTGCCCACATTTCCGTCATAGCTCTCCCCGCACTCCTCAGCCTGAGTGTGGCATCTGCTTCCTGACGGGCCCTAATGGATGTGGCTCACACCTCTCATCCCAGCACTTTGAAAGGCTAGGCCAAGCACAGTGGCTCACACCTGTCATCCCAGCACTTTGAAAGGCTAGGCCAAGCACCCCGGCTCACACCTGTCATCCCAGCACTTTGAAAGGCTAGGCCAAGCACAGTGGCTCACACCTGTCATCCCAGCACTTTGGGAGGCTGAGGCAGGTGGATCACGAGGTCAGGAGTTTGAGGCCAGCCTGGCCAACATGGTGAAACCCCGTCTCTAATAAAAATACAAAAATTAGCTGGGCTTGGTGCTGGGTGCCTGTAGTCCCAGCTACTCAGGAGGCTGAGGCAAAAGAATCCCTTGAACCCAGAAGGTGGAGGTTGCAGTGAGCCGAGATCCTGCCATTGCACTCCAGCCTGGGCGACAGAGCGAGACTCAATCTCAAAAAAAAGAACATGAACATTAATCTTTTGCTCCATTAATTTGTGCCTCTCTGTTCTCTCCTGTAAACTGGAGATGATAAGTATCTTCTTCATAGACTTTGTGAAGAATAAGGGAGTTAATACAGACAAAGTGCCTGCAACAGTGTAGGACACACAGCAAGCGCTAGGCTAACGTTAGCTATTATCACTGGCCACTCTGCATCAATCGCATCGTGATTTTTTGTGTCGACTCTGTATCGACCCTGTAAAAGCAAAATCTCAATGTTTCTGTGACAATTCCATAGAAACTTTTCTTCAGCTTGGCCTCTAGGAGCCAGGGGGTGGCACAAAAGAGAGAAGCAAGTCACAAGATGAGCAAGACGCATCCAGGTGGGACCCTGGCGAAGTGTCACACACAGCACTGAATCCAGACGCAGGGGCCCCAGATAAACTGCAAGACGCCCAGTGAACATGGATGTCGGAGCATCCAGGTGGGACCCTGGCAAAGTGTCACACACAGCACTGAATCCAGACGCAGGGACCCCAGATAAACTGCAAGACGCCCAGTGAACATGGATGTCGGAGCATCCAGGTGGGACCCTGGCAAAGTGTCACACACAGCACTGAATCCAGACGCAGGGACCCCAGATAAACTGCAAGACGCCCAGTGAACATGGATGTCGGAGCATCTAGGTGGGACCCTGGCAAAGTGTCACACACAGCACTGAATCCAGACGCAGGGGCCCCAGATAAACTGCAAGACGCCCAGTGAACATGGATGTCGGAGCATCTAGGTGGGACCCTGGCAAAGTGTCACACACAGCACTGAATCCAGACGCAGGGACCCCAGATAAACTGCAAGACGCCCAGTGAACATGGATGTCGGAGCATCTAGGTGGGACCCTGGCGAAGTGTCACACACAGCACTGAATCCAGACGCAGGGGCCCCAGATAAACTGCAAGACGCCCAGTGAACATGGATGTCGGAGCATCTAGGTGGGACCCTGGCAAAGTGTCACACACAGCACTGAATCCAGACGCAGGGACCCCAGATAAACTGCAAGACGCCCAGTGAACATGGATGTCGGAGCATCCAGGTGGGACCCTGGCAAAGTGTCACACACAGCACTGAATCCAGACGCAGGGGCCCCAGATAAACTGCAAGACGCCCAGTGAACATGGATGTCGGAGGATCTAGGTAGGACGGACCCTGGCAAAGTGTCACACACAGCACTGAATCCAGACGCAGGGACCCCAGATAAACTGCAAGACGCCCAGTGAACATGGATGTCGGAGCATCTAGGTGGGACCCTGGCAAAGTGTCACACACAGCACTGAATCCAGACGCAGGGACCCCAGATAAACTGCAAGACGCCCAGTGAACATGGATGTCGGAGCATCTAGGTGGGACCCTGGCAAAGTGTCACACACAGCACTGAATCCAGACTCAGGGACCCCAGATAAACTGCAAGACTCCCAGTGAACATGAACGTCAGGTGAGCAACAGACAAGCTTTCGGTCTACAGATAAAATGCAAGACGCCCAGTGAACATGAACGTCGGGTGAGCAACAGACTAGCTTTCAGTCTACTATGTCCTAAGTTTTGTATGGGATATACTTACTTTTCTTTTTTTGAGACAGGGTCTCACTCTGTTGCCCAGGCTGGAGTGCAGAGGCATGATCTCAGCTCACTGAAGCCTCGACTTCCCCAGCTCAAGCCATCCTCCCACCTCAGCCTCCGTAGGAGCTGGGACTACAGGTGTCTGCCACCACTCCCAGCTAATTTTTTGTATTTTTATTACAGACAAGTTCTCTCTATGTTGCCCAGGCTGGTCTCGAGCTCCTGGCCTCAAGTGATCCTCCTGGCCTCCCAATATGCCCAGCCATATGGGATATACTTATATTTAAAAATTATTCATTGTTCATCTAAAATTCTAATTTAACGGGGCATCCTTATTTTTATTTGCTGAAAAACTCAGCAGTGCTTTCAGTGTGGTTGGTAAGATTGTTCCCATTCTAAAGGTGAGAAAAACACAGCTCACTAGAGCATAAATAACTTGCTGGAGGTCATAGGCTAAGCAGGTGTTCAAAGACCAAGCTCCCGGCCTGCAGAGGTGCCTCCACCCAGCCGAGCAACAGGCCTGGGGCCACAGAACCGGGCCCTGGAGCGCCTTCCCACAATCCAAAAATGCCCCTCAGTCCCTGGAGGGGAGCCTGTGACCCGGAGGAGCCATTTTCTCCCGGGCAGAGGGAGCTCCTCACAAGCCAGTGCTGGGGGAAGACCTCCTGCGGGTGGATGGCCGGGAGGAGGTGCAAGAGAGGGCTGCAGTCAGCCAGGGTGGCACCCACAGCCCTTCCGGGAGCCACCCCTGCCTGGCGCTGGGACCTGGAGACAAAATGTCCAGGAGGAAACTCAGGAAGCTCCAGAGGAAACCCCTCAGGAAGTCCTGAAATAGTTCCACAGCCCAGAGTGAAAACTTTCTTTTTTTCTTTTTTCTGAGACGAAGTTGTGCTCTTGTTGCCCAGGCTGGAGTGCAATGGTGTGATCTCAGCTCACTGCAACCTCCGCCTCCCGGGTTCAAGTGATTCTCCTGCCTCAGCCTCCCGAGTAGCTGGGATTACAGGCATCCACCACCACGCCCAGCTAATTTTTGTATATTTTAGTAGAGACGGGGTTTCACCATGTTAGGCAAGCTGGTCTCGAACTCATGACCTCAGGTGATCCTCCTGCCTCAGCCTCCCAAAGTACTGGGATTACAGGCGTGGGCCACCATGTCCAGCCCCAAAACGAAAATTTTCAAGTGAGAGCAGCCTTGAGGGTGCCATGGTCTCTCTGAGTCCAGGGCGTAGACCCCCAGTGCCTGGCAGCTTGGCCCGGCTCACAGGGCCCCCTCCCCAGAGCCCACGCAGATGACCTCAGCTCCCACCCCCCGGAGTGTCCGCACCCACCCTCCCCAGCGCGGTCCCCACCTCCGCTCTCCCAGAGCCCACGCAGATGGCCTCAGCCCCCGCCCCCGGAGTGTCCGCACCCACCCTCCCCAGCGTGGTCCCACCTCTGCTCTCCCAGAGCCCAAGGTGGAGTTTCACTTCGGTCATTCTCAGCTCTATTTTTACTCAAAGGTGGTAGGAACACCACACGTTCAAAGCAGGACAGGCAAGTCGTCTGACTCCACGCGGCTGCAAGGCTGAGCTTTTCTGTGAGCAGGGACGGGGGCAGGCTGCGGCCCCATGCAGGGCTTCTCTCCAGGGCCAAGAGTCTAGGTCCAGTGCCCAGTCCCCGGTCCTGATACTCAAGCAGGTGACATTCAGCGTCCTCTTCACCTGGCTGAGAAAGACCAACAGCATCCCCAAGCAGAGGAACAGCACGTGCAAAAGGCACCACACTATGAATGGGCGAGTGTTGTATCCTGGGAAACCGGGAGAGGCTCAGTGTGGCCGGAGGCCCGGGGGTGTGGCAGTGGGGCCAGGAGGGGAGGCTGCGGCTGGAGATGGGTTGGACCCAGTCTCTGAGAAGGCTCCCACGTTGTGCTAAGGAGTTTAGAGTTTATCCTGCAGGAAGGAGGGAGCTACGAAGGCTTGGAGGGCAGATGCTGCAGGCGCCTGGTCCTTCCCATCCAGTGTGGGCAGCGCGGGCCTCACCTGGGACTTGCTAGAAATGCAGAATCCAGGCCGGGCGCAGGGGCTCACGCCTGTAATCCCAGCACTTTGGGAGGCCGAGGCGGGCGGATCACCTGAGGTCAGGAGTTTGAGACCAGCCTGGCCAACATGGTGTAACCCTGTCTCTACTAAAAATACAGAAACATTAGCTGGGCATGGTGGCACGCGCCTGTAGTCCCAGCTACTTGGGAGGCTGAGGCAGGAGAATCGCTTGAACTGGGAGGCAGAGGCTGCAGTGAGAGCTGAGATCGCGCCACTGCACTCCAGCCTGGGTGACAGAGCCAGACTCTGTCTCAAAAACAACAAACAAGCAAACAAAGGAAATGCAGAATCTGAGCTCCGGACCTGCCAAATCAAAATGTGCATGTCCATCATGGCACGGGGGCTGGGGGACCCCGTGATACCCCAGTGATTTATCTTCTCGGGGTGAGGCAAAGCCTTGAGCTCTGGCTGGGCGGAGAGAGAGGCCACCAGTTGGATGTCTCCAGTATCCCCTTCTGATGGCCCTTCTGCCCTCCTAACACCCAGCTCCACCTCCTGCTTGGATCCTCCCTGCTCCAGGACTCTCCGGGGCATCCCCAGTGCTGGATCCAGACACCCAGAGCCCTAGAGCACTTCGTCTCTTCATAGCCACCCCCAACTCCAACCAATCACAAAGCAGCATCTTCATAGCCACCCCTGACTCCAACCAATCACAAAGCAGCATTTCCCAGGGTTCCACCTGCTCGGTGCCTAGCTGGGTGTTGCGGGGAAGGGAGAACCACCATGGTGAAAGGCTGGTCCCCCGAGCGGAGGGAGTAAGCCGAGGAGCTTTTCAGACATGCAGAGGCCTGGGCCCCAACCTGAGGTCTCATGCCCCAGGCCCTGGCATTGGGCGCTTCTGGCAAAGAACACAGGCTGAGGCGTCAAGACAGATGTGTTGTGTGACCTCTGGGAAGTCTTGGGGAAGCATGAAACAGGATAAAAATGGCTAAGAACTCAGCAGGTTGCCGGAGGCTAAATGAGATACTGTTAGCAAAGCAGAGAGGACAATGTCTGGCATCCTATCACGGAAGCCTTTGTTATTCTCCCTCGTGCCTCTAAGGAGTTGAGAGTCTGGCAGAGAAGAAATGACAACTGGCATGAAACACTGTGCAGGTAAACACTATAAAACAACACGATATCGGCCGGGCGGGTCGCTCACGCCTGTAATCCCAGCACTTTGGGAGGCCGAGGCGGACAGATCACTTGAGGTCAGGAGTTCAAAGCAGCCTGGCCAACATGGTGAAACCCCGTCTCTACTAAAAATACAAAAATTAGCCGGGCGTGGTGGCGCACGCCTGTAATCCCAGCACTTTGGGAGGCCGAGGTGGGCAGATAACCTGAGGTCGGGAGTTCGAGACCAGCCTGACCAATATAGAGAAATCCCGTCTCTACTAAAAATACAAAATTAGCCGGGCATGGTGGCGCACACCTGTAATCCCAGCTACTCGGGAGGCTGAGGCAGGAGAATCACTGGAACCCGGGAGGTGGAAGTTGCAGTGAGCACTGCAGAGGTTGTGGAGATTGCACCATTGCACTCCAGCCTGGGCGACAAGAGCGAGACTCTGTCTCAAAAAAAAAGATAAGAAAGTGCTAAGCGATGTGAGCCGGAGCAATCAGCATTAGGGACTCTGAGCCAGGGATCTCACTAAGGCCAGTGCTCGAATCAGGCCTGGAGGACTTCCTGGAGATGGTGGTAGCTGAGCTGAGGCTTGAAGCTGGTTAGATCCTTGGAGCACAGAGCTTTGCAGGATGGTGAGAGGCCTTACTGGCTAGAGAATGGGCAGTGTGCTGGGAAACTGGAATGGATAACAAGAGGTTCCCCCAGTCTGGACTGAATGTGGTGGGAAAGGCAATGCCCCACTGAACCCACTGAAGGTTTCTGGGCAAAGGAGAGAAAATGGTCTAGCACAGCCACAGGCAGTTGGAAAGGGAACAGTGTCCTTCACTCAGGGAGGGGCTTGAGGACAGACACGGCAGGCACCCACAACAAGGGCCTGGCTGTGCTGGCAGCTGACCAGCTGCAGCAAGGTCCTCCGGCTAGAAGCAGCAGCTCTCCTGACAGCCAATGTGCGTTCCATCCTTTCTTCCCAGGGAGCAGGAGACCGAATCAGCTCCTGCCTTTGGTTTCTGAAGATTCTACACCCAAAGATGGCACTTGGTGCCCCAGCTCATCCAGGCCTCCCAAGGGGGAACGTGGGTCAGGAGCTGCCACGGGGTCTGCAAGACGCTTGCTGGCCTCGACCAAGTCAAGGTGGCTGTTCCACGCGGCTGGGTGGACGCCAGCTGGTCTCTCATGACCCTCCCCGTGACGCACTCGCAAAGTAACTACCAAGGCTTTCTGCTCCATTAACACCAAAGCTGGCCCTGCAGGGGAAAGAGGAGGGAGGGAGGACGTGGGTTTTGTCTAGACAGAGGCACTCACAAAGCCAGATGATGCCTGAGCTTCCGCCACGCAGGAAGAGGGTGAGCAGAGGAGGGCAGAGAAGACCTGGTGCGTCCCCCTCAGGGTGCCCCCCATGGCAGAAGTCACCAGCAGAGGCCAAGAACAATGGCCAATCCCCCTTCTTATCCTTAAAATCAGGGTAACAACCTTTCATAGGTTTACTGTGAAGATGAAATGAGATCACGAATGTGAGAACGCTCGCTCTACTCTTGCACCCGTGAGGTGTCCAATCAATTGCTTTGTTACTTTTATTCCTATTGGGAAATGGGCTCAAAAGATCTGTGTCAGGGGTTACCTTTCATCTGGCCAGAATCCAGAGCTACAGAAGGGTCTGGCTTGATTTGAAGTCCCAGCCAAAGGGGGCTCCGCTAAGGTGTAAGCCCCCCAGACACAGGCCTTCCCCAGGGGCTGACCTCTCCGTGGGGGACTCTCTGGGCTCGAGGGCCGTCGTGGGTGTGAGCCTGGGTCTGGAGGGTCTGCCCCGTCATTAACATGCTGCGCGCGGGAGAGTTCAAACACAGCAGCTGGCTCTGCAGCCCAGCAGGCCCTGGGCCTCGGCAAAGGACCTCGATGCTCAGTGGCCTGATTTATGGCTGAGGGCTCTCTTTATTTTCCTTTTGAAATGTGGAGGTGGATTTTAAAAGGCTGGAGAGCAGGGCCAGCACGCTTGGGCTCTGCCAAATCCCCGCGTCCTCGCCCCTGGCCTCGCTCTAGAAACTGGGCACTGGCCCTGCTCCATCCCAACCGCCAAAGTCTATTCTCACTCTCCCTTTCTCTGTGTTTGTGTTTGTATGGGGGGGTGTGTTTGTGTTTGTGTTTGTGTGTGTGTGTGTGGGGGGGGGGTGTGTTTGTGTATGTTAACAATCAGCACTTCTTGCCAATAATTCCAGGAACACAGCAATGCAGGCACGTGGGCTCCAAGTGCCCATGAGGAGACCTCCTTAGGCTCATGCCCCTAGGAAGAGGCAGCCCAGTTGGTGGATGCTCCCAGTGCTTCCAGGATGCCTGGGGCAGAGGGCTGTCTCCTCATATCACGGGGGCTTGGGGGCAAGACGCAGTCTTCACAACTGTCTTTCTAGCTAGAGAAATGAACCCAGATCCATCAACCTCAGTGAAATACCAGCGTCAAGGAGCCCCCACCAGCACCGCTGTGAAGGGTAAGAGTGCGGGAGAAAGAACACAGTTTACAGCAGGGCCAACCGAGCGCACAGTCCCTGGCTTGTAGTCTGCGACCTTGAATTAATTAATTTAGTTTGTTTATGTATTTATTTATTTATTTTGAGATGGAGTCTCATTCTGTCGCCCAGGCTGGAGTGCAACAGCGTGATCTCAGGTCACTACAACCTCCGCCTCCCGGATTCAAGCAATTCTCCTACCTCAGCCTCCCGAGTAGCTGGGATTCTAGGTGCCTGCCACCATGCCTGGCTAATTTTTGTATTTTAGTAGAAACGGGGTTTCATCATGTTGGTCAGGCTGGTCTCCAACTCCTGACCTCAGGTGATCCACCCACCTCGGCCTCCCAAAGTGCTGGGATTACAGGCGTGAGCCACCGTGCCTGGCCTGTCTCTTCCATTCTTTCTAAACCAAATTAAAAACTAGTTTCTATGAATCCATCAGGACTGATGGACTTTCTTTTCACGGGACCCCAGGATCCTGGGAGACCCAAGGATGAGGTTTCTATCTATGTCCCTCTACAGAACCCAGACACAGTTCCCAAAGAGGCTCCCGTGGGCGCCATTGCACAGAACAACTGCAGGGGGCACTCTTGCATAGCACACACTGCCACGCTGACCCCACAACTCCCAGAGGGGTCTCTCTCCTAAAACTTCACCTTCAATAGCACACACTGCCACGCCGACTCTACAACTCCCAGAGGGATCTTTCTCCTAAAACTTTGCCTCCAAGGGAGAGACTCCCTCAAAAAGATGACGTATGGGCTGTTTAGGCCCGAGGTAACGCGAACGGGGTAACCACAAGTGACGAAGTCAATTGCGGCTGTGAGGAGTAGATGTTCCCAGCCAGAGAAATAACTGGCTTAATTACACGGCGTCTTTGGTCCCCGTAATCTCGATCCATTAAACCTTTGCTGCTGACCAGGAGCCGCTGCCCAGGAGGAAGGGGTTAGCCCAGAACACTCACAGAAGCAGCCCTTCAATCCCACGAAGGTAATGATGGCCACATCCTTCCCCAACAGCCCCGAGTAAGCCCACAGATCCCTGCTCAATACCAGGCTTCTCTAGGCAGCACCAGCTCCACCGATGCCCCGGGGAGTCCAGCAGCCAAGCTGCCCGGAGTGACAAGGACTCTGAGCTTCCTTGGCTCTGGTTTACCTGAGGCCTCCCAGCCACCCAAGACTTCCTGGAGACCCTGCTAGCCTTAGGCAAGATGCCCAATCACGTGTGCCATGTCCACCTGTGACCTAGAGGCACACCAAGGCATCAGAGGTGAGGGCAGGGACAAGAAGGAGGTGAGTGAGGCCAGGCACGGTGGCTCACGCCTGTAATCCCAGCACTTTGGGAGGCCGAGGTGGGCGGATCACCTGAGGTCAGGAGTTCGAGACCAGCCTGATCAACATGGAGAAATCCCTTCTCTACTAAAAATACAAAATTAGCCGGGCGTGGTGGCAGCACCTGTAATCCCAGCTACTCGGGAGGCTGAGGCAGGAGAACTGCTTGAACCCGGGAGGCGGAGGTTGCAGTGAGCCGAGATCGCACCACTGCACTCCAGCCTGGGCAACGAGAGTGAAAATCTGTCTCAAAAAAATGAAGAAAGAGGGGAGTGGCACCCGATTAATCAATCAGGTCACCACAGAGCCGACCACATCTGGCTCTATCTACTGAAGCCCAGGCTGACTCTGACATTTTCCATACAGCCAGTAAACCCAGATTCATCTTTCGGTCTAGTGTGTGTGGGGAGGAAGGAAGGGCAGGAGGAGGACACAGGATAAAGCCTGGACAAAAAACTGGGCGAGAGGCCCCAGTCAGGTCTCGACCCGGGGACAGAGAACCCGCTGCTCCATCCACAAGTGGCCACGGCCTCAGATGGTCCCGCCTCAAAGGGCTCTTTGCCAAATGCCCAGGCAGGGGTGGGATTGGGCATTATCTTCAGCCTCCATACGGGGGTGCCTTCCGTAGCCTGCCTATTGGCCTGATTTCTTTCTCCTTCCCCCTTCACAAGGTCTCTGGGTCAGGTTCTCCTCAAGCTTCAGGGACCAGTGGAACATTCCCGCTGCTCCCAGCAGCGTCATGTCCCCAACTGACCATATCTTGCCCTAAGAAATGCAAGCTACTCCTGGGCCGGGCACGGTGGCTCACACCTGTCATCCCAGCACTTTGGGAGGCCGAGATGGGTGGATCACGAGGTCACGAGATCGAGACCATCCTGGCCAACATGGTGAAACCCCGTCTCTACTAAAAATACAAAAATTAGCTGGGTGTGGTGGCACATGCCTGTAATCCCAGCTACTCAGGAGGCTGAGGCAGGAGAATCGCTTGAACCCAGGAGGTGGAGGTTGCAGTGGAGCCGAGATTGCCCCACTGCACTCCAGCCTGGGTGACAGAGCAAGACTCCATCTCAAAAAAAAAAGAAAAGAAAAGCAAGCTACTCCCCACAGCAGCAATGGACTTTCTCACATGTGGGGACAAGCCAAGGTCACATGTCACAAACAGCCTCCCCTATCACAGCCCCAGAGATGGGTGAGCTGCAGAACTCTCCCCCTGGTACAAACAGTCACTTGGAGAAAAGTGCCAAGAATATAGAACAGAGCAGGTAATCCACCCCCCCCATCACCTCAGCCCACCCAACACATCACCTCAGTCCACCCAACACATCACCTCAGTCCACCCAACACATCACCTCAGCCCACCCAACACATCACCTCAGTCCACCCAACACATCACCTCAGTCCACCCCCCCCATCATCTCAGCCCACCCAACACATCACCTCAGTCCACCCCCCACACATCACCTCAGTCCACCCCCCACACATCACCTCAGTCCACCCAACACATCACCTCAGTCAACGCAACACATCACCTCAGTCCACTCAACACATCACCTCAGCCCACCCAACACATCACCTCAGCCCACCCAACACATCACCTCAGCCCACCCAACACATCACCTCAGTCCACCCCCCCCATCACCTCAGCCCACCCAACACATCACCTCAGTCCACTCAACACATCACCTCAGCCCACCCCCCACACATCACCAACACCCGCCACCACCAAGGGCCTGGCAGGGGCAGTGGGCGCAGGGTTGTCTTGAAGCCGCCTGCCCTAGGTTTGCGCCCAAAGGGCTCAAGCTCAGCCAAACAGCTGCCGCCAACGCTGGCAGTGAAGTCCTCCAATCATAAACCCTGGCAAAAGCGCGAGACTCCCTTTGGGGGTCTCTGACTCCACTACGAGCGAGTACAATGACCAAATCCACACAGCCGGAAACGCATGGACGGGCCAGCTGACAGGTTTCAGCTAACAGGGGTTTCTGCTGCGGGGAGGAGCTCAAGGAGCCAAGAACTCGAGTTTTCTTTTTCCCACCCGTACTCAGACAACCAACACCTATGGAGGGCCTGTGCGGGAGCCGCTGTGGGAGGCGCTGCCTCAGAGCTGGTCTGATACCCTGTTCCTGCCGGTCCTCCTGCCACATTCCCTGCCCCTTCCTAAGTCCTGTGCCGGCCTCTCCCAGTCCCTCGAGGCTTTCCCGGATGAGGAGCGCAATGAGCTGGACAGCTGAGCTGCTCAATAGCTCTCCTCACCTTCAAAGCACTTTATAAATATGAATTAATCCACACAACACCCACGAGAGCCATCATGCCCTCCCTCTACGAAGGAAGGTACCGGAATTGTCCCAGAAAGCAGATCATACCTCAGACAGAGAACAAGTCTTCCATCCTACTCGCAAGAGTGAGGCAGAGCCTCCCCGCCATTCCCCATCTTCCATCCTCCTAACAGCATCTTCCAGCCAATTCCCCACAAATTTCCTTCCTTTTCCCGAAGAACAACAGTAGCCAACAATCACAACCACAGAAACCTAAGTTTCTCTGAGTAGATGACTTAATTCTTCTGCCAGCCCCACCTCTGAGACTCCAGCAGCCATGAAGATTATGGGCCGGTGTTGACAAAAAGGAATAAATTACTGGGCTATTCCGAAAACAAGCAAGCATCTGCCAGCAGGCGCTCACTAGCACACACGGAGGGGTCTGATGCGGCCCCGAGAACTGAACTGCTCTGATCAAACGCACACAGGCTGTCAGACCAGTGGCTTGGTCCCTGGTGTAGAGAATGTGGGGCTCAGATGAGAAACTGAGGTAGGCTCATGCTCACCTGGAGACAGGCTTACATCTCCACTGCTCCAAATACTTTCCTGGCCCATAGATGGGGCACTGAATCTATAAAGGGCATGAAAATATCACAAGAGAATGAAATCGCCCTTGGAAATGTTGCTTGGGGTAAGAGAAGTGAGCTCCAAAAAGCAGGCTCTAGTAACAACAGATGGTCACGTTCTGCCTTCCATGACGGCCAAGCCACTGCAGGCTCTTGCTTGGCTCAGCAGGGAAGGTATGTTTGACACCAGGACTAAATTACTTGGGACCAAATGGAGGCCGAAGTGGCAAAGGGAGAGGCTTTAAATACAGCCTCTGCCTCTCCTCTAAGTAAGTCCTAAACACACATATAAAGATTTTCCAGTTGAAGAGGTGCCAGATGATCAACCTGCCTGGGGCACACGTATGTCTTGATCCAGATCTGCTTGGAGAATCCCAGGGACCAAGAAAGTGTCAGAGCACACCTCCACCCCCATTTTGGGCTACTCCGCTCCCATTTAATCCAATCTAATCCCATGGGATTGGGAAAATAAAAATAAAAAAATAAAATAAAAAAATAACAAAGAGAAGATGATACGTGTTTAGCAGAAAGGGTGATTAAAGACCTAGAGGCATTATGACCAAGAAAACATGGCCGGGCGCAGGGGCTCACGCCTGTCATCCCAGCACTTTGGGAAGCCGAGGCGGGTGGATCACCTGAGGTCAGGAGTTGGAGGCCAGCCTGGCCAACATGGTGAAACCCCGTCTCTACTAAAAATATAAAAATTAGCCGGGTGTGGTGGCGGGCACCTGTAATCCCAGCTACTCAGGAGGCTGAGGCAGGAGAATCGCTTGAACCGGGGAGGCGGAGGTTGCAGTGAGCCGAGATCGCACCGCCGCACTCCAGCCTGGGCGAGAGAGCGAGACTCTGTCTCAAAAAAAAGAGAGCCTCAGAGAGAGCATCATAGCAACCCCAGGGAGAGAAAGGTAAGGTACTGAGGGGTGAAACTGACATTGCTACATTAATACAGGCAAATGAGTGGCGCAGACACAAGAACTGGGGGATGTCTGAAACCATCTGTCACTCCACAGGGAAAGGACTCTGCTCCCATCAGCCCCAGGGCCCCTGGCAGCTGGGATCCAACTCTTCTCCTTGAGGCAGACAAATCACACTTACCGCAGCCCTTCAGGACTTCTACCATAGGAGAGATGGAGGGTTTGCTGCCCAACCCTCATCAAATGACCACCAAACCTGTGATGGAAGTGGGCACACTCCTCCTGTCAAAACCAGAAAGAATGAACTGCCAACCCCAAAGGCAGGAAGTGTGTTCAGGGCCGGGCGCGGTGGCTCACGCCTGTAATCCCAGCACTTTGGGAGGCCGAGGCGGGTGGATCACGAGGTCAGGAGATCGAGACCATCCTGGCCAACACGGTGAAACCCCGTCTCTACTAAAAACACAAAAAATTAGCCGGGCGTGGTGGCGGGCGCCTGCAGTCCCAGCTACTCGGGAGGCTGAGGCAGGAGAATGGCGTGAACCTGGGAGGTGGAGCTTGCAGCGAGCTGAGATAGTGCCACTGCACTCCAGCTCCAGCCTGGGTGAAAGAGCGAGACTCCGTGTCAAAAAAAAAAAAGAAGTGTGTGAGGGGAGGGGCTGGCTGGCAGGCTGGCACCTTAGGAGCAGAGAGCCACCAGCCTCAGTGGGTTCAGACAGCCTCAGCTGTCCCTGCCTGGGCTCCAGGCCCAGCCCCCAGGTCCTGCAAGAGGCACAGGGCCAGGTTGGGGTCAGAGCCATTGAAGCCATTTACCCTGCTGGACCGTTTCAGGGAGAACTCTGCAACAGAGGACCATAGAGAATGGCGTCCCCCATTCCGTGACATCCCAAGACCTTGAATAAACTCAGACATACCCAGGTGGTACTCGGGATCCTCCTCATTATTCTAGGGTACAACCTGAATTCCAGCTCAGCCATTTGTTACTTATGTGATCTTAGGTCTATGATTTATGCTAACTGAGCCTCACTTTCCTACTCTGTAAGAGTTGCAGAGTTGTGAGATTTGGAGAGAATGGATAGAAAGTGCCTAGCACAGGCCGGGCGCAGTGGCTCACGCCAGTAATCCCAGCACTTTGGGAGGCCAAGGTGGGAAGATCACCTGAGGTCAGGAGTTCGAGACCAGCCTGACCAATATGGTGAAACCCCATCTCTACTAAAAATACAAAACTTAGCTGGGTTGTGGTGGCAGGCGCCCATAATCCCAGCTACTCAGGAGGCTGAGGCAGGGGAACTGCTTGAATCCAGGAGGTGGAGGTTGCAGTGAGCCAAGATCGCACCACTGCACTCCAGCCTGGGCAAAGACGGAGACCCCGTCTCAAAACAAAACAAAAAACAAAAAACAAAAAAAAAAAAGAAAAAAGAAAGAAAGAGAAAGTGACTATCCCAGTGCCTGCCATACAGTAGGTGCTCAGGAGACGCTATTATCATTGTTACCAGGAACAATGCTCAGAGAGAGGAAGGCAGGGAACCTCTAACACCGAGTCATTCCCATCTCTAAGTCACACTGCCACCCTGTGCCCTGGGTATACCCCCTTTACAGTTCCCGATGGATCTGGCATTTGTGGAGATTTGTCACCCCAGGACTGTGAGCCTTGTAAGCAAACAGCTTCCTGAGAAGCAGAGGAACTTCCTCTGGGAGCCACAAAACCTTGCTGCCAGGCAAATGACAGCTCGGGTATTTGTTTTAATTTAGGCTCTTGTCAAGAGGAAAGTTGATGGCTAACAGCCCAAACATGACTGCACAGCACCTCCCCGGGAAGCCTCCTGCTACAGCTCTCCACTAAGCTGTTCCGAAGAGGGAGGCAGGGACTCCTCACACTGCGGCCACATCAGTGCCCCCTCCCACCCACCATCCAGGCCACCCCAGGAGCCGCCCAGAGGCCAGGGCAGCAGCAGGAGGGTAGACAGCTCAGGTGCCAATCTGCCTGAATCAGGGCTGCCCAACAGAACCCCCTAAGAGGCCTTGGCCTAATTCCCTTTTCTGGCATTCCTCTGGTCAGGAATTTTCAAGGTGGCCTCAGGCAATTTTGCTTTTTTGCTCCAGGCGTGGGAGGAAGAGGGTGGGGTATGGAAGACTTGGAAATGATCAGCTCAGAGGAGTCTTCTGCTGCAGAGAAAGCTAGAGACAGGGTTCCATACGATTCCAGGCTTCGGGAAATAGGGAAACAAGAACTGGGTTTTGCAAAGAGCCAGAAACACTCAGGAACATAAGCACGCGTGAATCTGAGGCATTGTTATGACGGCTGTTTGCAAGCACACAGCTAAGAGAGGGCCACTAATCCTGCCTCCGGGTCAGGAGCTGATCTGCATCTGCGCTCCGAACAGATGTGTGCCCCCATTCATGCAGACGCACGTGCACGCACATGCCACACAGCCATGGGCCCTGACCTTCACCCAACGACGCTGGCCTCTGCAGGGGAAGGAGCAGATGGAGCGGCGGCACCTGGCACAGGACCTATGCCCAGGGGATCCGGCTTTGCCCCTTTGATGTTGAGAAACCAAAGCAGAATGAACCATCACAAGGACAGCTCCTGGGGGGAGGAGAGGAAGGAACATGGATGGAGGAGGAGGCGGGTGGAGAAGAAGATACAGGGAATGACCTGGACCCAAGGGGATGCTGAGGTCAGAGGTTGAATGTTGGGTACCACACAGCCTCCAGAGTAAGGCTTTGGGGCTCAAGGCATCACCCTTCTCTACTCCCCCCACCCCCCCCATATGACTTATCAAGGAACTCTAGCTGGGATGACCCTTACAAATGCCCTTGTTGGCTCACGCCTGTAATCCCAGCACTTTGGGAGGCTGAGGCAGGTGGATCACCTGAGGTCAGGAGTTTGAGACCAGCCTGGCCTCATGGTGAAACCCCATCTCTACTAAAAATACAAAAAATTAGCCGAGAGTGGTGGTGGGTACCTGTAATCCCAGCTACTCAGGAGGCTGAGGCGGGAGAATCACTTGAACCCGGGAGGCAGAGGTTGCAATGAGCGGAGATTGCGCCACTGCACTCCAGCCTGGGCGACAGAGCCGAGACTCCGTCTCAAAAAAAAAAAAAAAGAAAGAAAACGCTCCTGTTCCATGGCATCCAGTGCCTAGAATCAGGCTGAACCAGGCTCCACGTGGCCCCACGTGCCTCCCCCAACTCCTGCCTGGGAGATGTGCTGAGAGAGTGGGAGGGTCCCACTCACGTGGGCCAGGAAGGGCGAAATCCACTATGTAAGCCCAGGAGGACCCTCTTCCTAATCCCTGAGAGCTTTCGGGAAAGGTGTCTCAGGGAAGGGTGGGGAGAAGGGGCGGTGCCTTTCTAGCAACGGAGCAGGAGCAAGGTGCGGTGGTGGGGGCGGGGGGCGGCTCTCGGTTCGCCCCAAGCCCCCCCACACCATTACCCGTGATCAGTTACGCATCCCCCGGGGCCATGCAAGAGCAATCACATGATCCAGAGAGATTTGGGAGCGAGGGGGTGGAGAACTCGAGAAGGTTTGTTTTTTTTTTCTTCTGAGGGTGGTGGTGATGATGAGGGTGGGGGTGGTGATGAGGCTGGCAGGAAAGATTGCTGAGCCCGGGATTTTCAGCTCCCGCATCCAAACGGCCCCCGCGGATATCTGCACCCCCCGTCTCCCCTCCCACCCGATCCCACCCCAGCACCGAACCCCTGGGCCCTGAACCACACATGACCCGGTGCCCCTGGGGTGGCAAACTCGGGTGCCAACGACTGCTCCCAAAACGGCCTTTCGGCTTCAGCCTGGACAGAGAAGCTGCCGGTCCAGGGGCGGGGGCAGCACCCAGAAGGGCCTCCCTCCCCTGAGGCTCGCGGAGGCCGGGTTCACAACAGGTGGGAGGGGGGACGCAGCTCTCGGCTCGGTCCGCCCACGGTCCCCGCCCCCGGACCGCAGGAATCCTCTCTGGGGACCCCCCGCCCGCGCCCCCCAGACCAGCCCGGCTCCTGGGTCCCGACCCCGATCCCGATTCCCAACCCGACCCCGATCCGGACCCCGATCTCGCCCCCGCCCGCGCTCCCCGGACCAGCCCGGTGCCTGGGTCCCGATCCCGATCTTGGGGTCCCGATCCCGATCCTGGGGTCCCGATCTCCATCCTGGGGTCCCGATCCCGATCCTGGGGTCCCGCCCCCGCCCGGCACACGTACTGCTGTAGAGGGTGTCGATCCAGGACAGGCGCGGCAGGCCCCGGTGGCTGAGCGGCTCCATCCCGCGGCGGCGGCTCGGTCAGATCCGAAACCCGACCCTCATCGCGCAACAAAGGAGGGAGAGCGGGCGGGAGCCGGGGGAGGCCGAAGTTGCGAGCGCGGAGGGGCGAGGAGGCCGGGAACCAGGTCCCCGGGAGGAGCGCGGGGCGGCCGGGGCAGGGGCGAGGGCGGGGCGGGAGCCCCCAAAACCCTCCCGAACCCTCCCGGCCCCAGCGGCCGCGCCGAGCCCAGCTGCGGATCCCGGAACCGATGAGCAACTTCGCGGGGGGCGGGGCGGGGGTGGGGCTTCGTGGTGGGGCGGGGCTTTGGTGCGGGGGCGGGGCTTTGGTGCGGGGGCGGGGCGGGGAGGGACCAATCGGCTCGAGGCTCCGCCCTCCGCAGGACGCCCCCGGCCGGGCTAAGGGGGCAGCGGGGCTCCGGCGCTGGGCGAGGAGGGGCCGCGGGGGTCTCGGGGGGTCTCCAGGCGGCGGCGCAGACCCAGGTCCCCCTCGTCCCCCCCGCGCCGGGCTCAGCAGGATCCTGGCGATCCGCAAACCAGGTGCCGTGGGGGGCCCGGGAGCCCACAGGGGTGACATCACCTCCCGCCCGGGATCTCCAAGCGCGGCTTCGCGGGCGGGAGCGGCGGCCGGGCCCCTCCCCAGCCAGACCCGCTGCGGGACCCACGGGGTGAACGTCCTGCGCGCCGCGGGACGCGCCTCTCTCCTCCCGAACCTTCCCCCGCTCGTCCCTTTCCACACCCCTGACCTCTGAGCGCGGCCGTTCCCGCCACACATGGAGGGGGGCGGGTGGAGACCCGGGAGGACCGAAGTCACGGGGGCTGTGGGGCCAGGACAGTCCCACATGTGCCCCTCCTGGGCGGAGGACAAACTGGAGCCAGGAGAAGCCCCAAGGGCTCCACGCGTTCCCCTCCAGGACCCCTCCTGGGGACCCCGAGCCGCGGCCTGGAAAGCCCATCGTGTTTGCATCATCACCTAGAAATGGTGGGAAGTCGGGTCAAGAGGCCTGAGAAATGACCGTTTAGAGACGAAATTCCCTCTAAGGAAGACCCCCTCGCCCAAGGGCAGTGAAGAGATTGGGGGCCCCATGCCTGTCTCCTGTGGGCTGATTCTGTGGGAGCCATGGCAGCTTCCCCACAGACCTCTTTGGGCCAAGCGACCCTGGAGCAGGGAAGGACAGGAGGGGAGTCAGGCCAGGGGGGTCCAGGGCAGTGGGGCTGAAGCCCCTTCCTGAACCCAGGGAAAGGGAAGCAGTGGGGCCCACCCAGGGGGCCCGGTACCCCAGATAGTGACATTTCAGATACCGGAGCTGTCTCCACCCCACCCCATCCCCAGGCAGCTTAAGGGGAAAACTTCTGGGAGCCCAGCCCTACAGAGGCCTACCAGGAAGGTTAAGTCAGCCTGGCCTTTGCCGGGGGCAGTGTGGTCGGCACCCGCAGAACGCTGGAGGGGTGTGGGGGTCGGTCCTCATCACTCCAAACAGACACACACACATCTAGTTCTTAAGGGGAGAAGCAGCTCCTCCCCCAGGATGCTGAGAGGAAGCCCCATAAGCTGCTTGGGCAGAGGCCTCTGCAGCTGCCCCAGGGGAGATGGGGGTCACCCACTCATCACAGGCTGGGGAGCCCCTGGGAGACGCACAGGATGATGCTCTGGGTGGGGAAGCCTCTACAGGTGGCTGCAGCAGAAGTGGTTTTCAATATTATTAGCCCGTCCCTGCGTCCCCAGGGCTCCCTCCGCCCCAATCCTCCTGGCTCAGGCACCAGCGCTGTCTCTTGCCGCCCCTCCCTGCAGCTGTCACCCTCCCACCGTCCCTGACTAGCACACAGGATTGGGAGGGCCAAGCAGGCACCTGGAGCTTGGCAGGGAGGGGGCGTGCATCTCCAATGAGACGCTCCAGAAATAGAGCTTCGGCATGGGAAGGGAACGAGCAGGCTCTCGGAGGACCGCGAGGCCGGAGGAGCCATGAGGGGCCAAGGGCATCTCTTCTTCCCACCTGGAACTCTCGGAAGACAGCCCAGGGGAAAGGTGGAAACGGGCGTGAGCTGCCGCCACCAGGAGCCACCAGCCCAGGAGGCAGCAGCACCGTCCCCTCCTCAAAACAACAACAAGCAAGAACGCTCGGGCCCTCTCCCCACACTGTGGGGTTTTCCTGATGGCCACATCCGGCGCTGACTGTGAGGGAGCTATGGATGTATGCTTCTGCGTGAGTCACATACATTTGCGTACATTTTACATTTTTATCTACAAAGGCTTGAACAAGCTATTTTCAGCATCCTCCAAGCTAAAATGTGGCAGTTGCTTTCCTTCGCGTTGCCATAGTTTGCTTTTTTCTGTCTACATTCTGTCCAATCCTGGCACTCTCGGACCCTCCACTCCACAACACGATAGAGGGTAGAGGGAGAGACAAATCTTGAGGGCTCTACAGAGGAAACTTCTGATAACGAACACAGAACACCGACTGTGTGCCCGGCTTAGCGTTTCGTTCACTAGCGTGATCTCACCGTGAATGTCACTGTTATCTCTGTTTTCTCCATTTTCCAGGTCAGAAAACCGAGGCCCTGAGCAGCTGAGTAACCCACTCAGAGGGTAAGTGAGGGCTGGGACTTGAACCCTGGCACTCTGTTCATGCTCTTTTTCTGTTTGTTTGTTTGTTTGTTTTTGAGACAGAGTCTCGCTCTGTCGCCCAGGCTGGAGTGCAGTGGCACAATCTCGGCTCACTGCAAGCTCCGCCTCCCGGGTTCACGCCATTCTCTTGCCTCAGCCTCCCGAGTAGCTGGGACTACAGGCACGTGCCACCACGCCTGGCTAATTTTTGTATTTTTAGTAGAGACGGGGTTTCACCTTGTTAGCCAGGATGATCTTGATCTCCTGACCTCGTGATCCGCCCGCCTCGGCCTCCCAAAGTGCTGGGATTACAGGCGTGAGCCACCGCGCCCGGCCTGTTCATGCTCTTAAACACCACGCATACTGCCTCCACGGCCAGCTAACTGGTGATCACCGGGTGCTGAAGGTCCTGAGAAATCTCTGCGGGTCCATGGGGTTAGAGACCACCCTCTGGGAAACCCTGTCAACCCTCTTCCATCTCCAGACGTCTGTCTCAGACAACGTGTCTCAGGAAAGGGCAGTCACTTCGAGATTCCCTTGATGCCTTTGTTGGATGGCTTCCAGTAGATGTTAACACCACGGCCAGATGCTAACCTTGGCCACAGAGACAAGTGTGTGAGCCTTTGAGCACCACAGTGATTTGGGTGGGAACAGAAACCTCCGCATCCCTGGCACTGAGGAGTTGGGGAGATCCAACGTCACGCGCTGGGAAGGAAGGAGTTAAAGAGTCCTTCTCCTCCGGGCTTTGCCAAAGGTGATGCTACCCTGAAGTGCTCTAACCCCAGCGATCAACCCCAATCTGTCAGAGGAGCGGGGAGCTGTGGCAGACAGACCTTCCTGATTCAGCTAAATGTGGACCGGGTGGGGACCAGCCAGTGCTCCCCAAGGCACTGAACCCCCATCTATCACGCTGCCTCCTCCAGGCCCCTTCTAAGCATTCCCCAGACAGTCCCTGGGGCCAGTGCTCTCCACCCTCCCAGCCCTCCCTCCAGCCTGTGCACTCAGACTGTCTGCGGCTCTCCAACCCCAGGGTGACCTGCCTGCTCCTGCCTCATCACTGGACTTAAAGGGGATTTCATGGTTGGGTGCACCGCCAGGAGCACTGGGTTAATGACGAGGGGCTGAGTGGGAAGAAGGTACATCCCATTTTCAAGGCTATTTGCCCTGCTCCTAATTCCCAAGCACGTGCTACTCACGGCCTCTCCAACGACCAACTCTTGCTTCTACCAATCAAGGTAGAAGCCTTGGTTCTTGGCCAGGACAGAAAAAAGGGGACGGGCCCTAGAACCAAAACTGGGTATCTCCACATTTCCTCCCTTCTCATGTTAGCAGCTCAGCTCCACTGCACACGACAGGAAGGCCCCAGGAGTCTCTGCTTCCTTGATCACCCAGAGGTCACCGCTGATGACAAAAATATGTTCCCATGCGGGGGCCAGGCAGGGAGCCCCGGTGCGTGCAGAGGCTGAATACACAGTGGGTGGGAGGGAGTGGGGCCCTCTACATTCAAATGAAAAACCAAAACCAAAAATAGACTGTGATGACCAAAAAACCGAGAGTTTGCACCCTCACTGGCCCATCAGGTCCTTAAAAGCTGGGACTGGCCAGGCGCGGTGGCTCATGCCTGTAATCCCAGCACTTTGGGAGGCCGAGATGGGCAGATAGCCTGAGTCTGGGAGTTCGAGACCATCCTGGCCAGCATGGTGAAACCCCGTCTCTACTAAAAACACAAAAATTAGCCAGGCGTGGTGCATGTGCCTGTAATCCCAGCAGTGAGCCGAGATCCTGTCACTGCACTCCAGCCTGGGCAACAGAGTGAGACTCCCTCTCAAAAAAAAAAAAGCCAGAGCCGGGCACAGTTGCTCACGCCTGTAATCCCAGTACTCTGGGAGGCCGAGGTGGGTGGATCACGAAGTCAGGAGATCGAGACGATCCTGGCTAACACGGGGAAACCCCGTCCCTACTAAATATACAAAACATTAGCTGGGCATGGTGGCGGGCGCCTGTAGTCCCAGCTACTCGGGAGGCTGAGGCGAGAGAATGGTGTGAACCTGGGAGGTGGAGCTTGCAGTGAGCTGAGATCACGCCACTGCACTCCAGCCTGGGGACAGAGCAAGACTCCGTCTCAAAAATAAAAAATAAAAAAACCAGGACTGCATCTTCCTCACTGGGCAGACCCAGTGCTCAGCGCAGTGGGTGAACAAGGCTCAGGTAGACTCCCAGCACAGCTATGACCACATGGTGCCTCCAGATCAGCTTTCTGCCGAGCGCCCAGCAGATCGGCATTCAATAATGCACATTGAACAAATAAAATTAATGACAGCTAACAGTTATTGAGTGCTTTTTTTTTTTTGAGACAGAGTCTTGCTCTGTCACCCAGTCTGGAGTGCAGTGGGCATTCTCACAGCTCACTGCAGCCTTGAACTCCTGGGTTCAAGCTGATCCTCCTGCCTCACCCTCCCAAAGTGCTGGGATTATAGATGTGAGCCACCGTGCCTGGTCTACTGAGTGCTTCTTAAGTGTCAGGCACTGCTCTATCTGCTTTACGTAGGTTATTTCACGTAATCCTTACAATAAGCCAATTTACTATTATCTCCATTTCACAGAAGAAGAAATTGAGGTGCAGAGAGGCTAAGCCATTGGCTAACTAGCAGATGGCGATGCTTGGAAATGAACCAAGTCTGAATCCAGGGTTCCCGTGTGTAATCTCTGCATTGAGCGGCAATTAGTGAATGAATGAATAAACAGAATGAAGTTAAACTCAGGGAGGAAGAAATCGGAGCTACACGAGGGAGGCAGGCAGCGTTATTTCAGAACCCTCCCAGGGCCACTGATGATAAAGTAGAAAGAGAACTGGTATCCCAAGAAAACCATATCTACTACAGCAGGCCAGATGACCCTGGAGACAAGCTGAACAAAGTCCAGTGACAATCTCCCAAATGCCAGTCCCGGCCAAACCCCACTTCTTCAATGCCTCCGGCCAATCTCAAGAGTTTCCAGCCTCAGTGTTCACATCTGTAGACAGTATGCGCCCAGGGCCAGGCACAGTGGCTCACGCCTGTAATCCCAGCACTTTGGGAGGCCGAGGCCAGCGGGTCACCTGAGGTCAGGAGTTCGAGACCAGCCTGGCCAACATGGTGAAACCCCGTCTCTACTAAAAATACAAAAATTAGCTGGGCGTGGTGGCGGGCACCTGTAATCCCAGCTACTCGGGAGACTGAGGCAGGAGAATCGCTTGAACCTGGGAGGTGGAGGTTGCAGTGAGCCGAGATCGTGCCACTGCACTCCAGCCTGGGTGACAGAGTGAGACTCCGTCTCAGAAAGAAATAAAAAAAAAAAAAAAAAAAAAAAAAAGAAGGTATGTGCCCAGGTGGATCAAGAAGACGACCTCCAGGCCTCCTATGAGCACTAGCAGAATACAAACTCTCCTGTCAGATCCTGGGGTGGCCTGTTTTCCGTGCTTTGCTCTATTCCCATTTCCTTGGTACAGTAAAGCAGCATTTACTATTCTTTTTTTTCTTTCTTTTGAGATGGAGTTTCACTCTTATTGCCTGGCTGGAGTGCAGTGGCAGGATCTCGGCTCACTGCAACCTCTGCCTCCTGGGTTCAAGCGATTCTCCTGCCTCAGCCTCCCGAGTAGCTAGGATTACAGGAGCCCGCCACCACACCTGGCCAATTTTTTGTATTTTTAGTAGAAATGGGGTTTCGCCATGTTGGCCAGGCTGGTCTCGAACTCCCAACCTCAGGTGATCCGCCCGCCTCCACCTCCCAAAGTGCTGGGATTACAGGCGTGAGCCACCATGTGCGGCCAGCATTTACTATTCTAAGATTCATCCTCAGCCCTCCAGTCTGGGGAAAGAAGAAAATTCCCCAGGCCTCCACAGTGTCACCTGTAAGGGTGAAGTCTCAGCCTATGAGTCTGTCTTTTGCCCTCTTCTCACCTGCCCTCTGCTCAGCCTCCCGGCTTTTCCAGCAGCCAGTGAGATCTACAGGCAACAGAGGTGAACTGGAAGCCCTTCCCAGTTAGTCATTTCTGCACCAAACTTTTGTGTCAGCTTGAGTCATGGGAAGACCTGCTGCCCTGGCAAGATGTGGACCTGCTCCCCGGGGAGCTGCATTCACCCCCTCACTGCCTCCCTAGGCATCACTGCAGGATAAAGCACAGTGACATCAGGTCCTTGCAGCTGTGACACTCCCCACACGCCCCCACACACTTCCCAGGGGCCGAGTTGAAGCCCCGTTCCCATGGCCAGGGGCCACAGCAAGGGCAGCATCCTGGGCAGAGCCGCTGGCTTAGATTATGCACTCCCCGAGCCACCGTTTTAGGAGGGTCTCTCGCCAAGCCCCAGCTCACGTGGCCCTCACCTGACATGGCTCAGATGACACCACCCACAGGTCAACAGCAGAGTTTTCCCAAAGGGTCCGTCCGAGGGCTCGACAGCAGGGCCTGGAGCCCCCTACTCATTTACTTACCACCAAGTCCCCATCAGCATTCAGAAAGACGCCAGCAGAAGAGTCCAATGGATTCTCTAAGTCTCCAAAACCCAGAGATTCAGTTCAGTGGCTCCAATCTCCTTAGCCCCAAGGGAAACAAGAGCACGTCCAGCTGGGGTCAGAGCTCACGGGCTGGCCCTCTGCCCTCCTGTGGTCACGACGGCCCCGAAGCTGGCCGTGCTCCTCGCTCGTTCAGCCAGAATTCTGCAGACGCATCCCAGGCCTACGCTGCTCTGCCAGGACCTCTGACACCACCCACCAGGCTGGCCCTGTCCCCATCAGGCCCAGGAGTGGCTGCAGGAGCCGAGGGCAGGCTGTCAAGGAGACGGGCTCCGAGAGGCAGCGGCTCACCATTCAGCAAGGCGAGGGCAAAGGAACCTCAGAGCCTAGCCAGGGGCGCCTGCCATCAGTGGAGCCTCTGCTCTGGGGCTGCCGGTCGGGCCGTGTGTGCTGTGTCTCTTTAAGGACCAGGCCTCTTCAAGGCAAGTTCCCTCTGCAGTCCAGTCCTGCCTCTGCCCGTCCTGCGGCAGAGAGTGGGGGCTCCCCAGCGCCATCTGGCGGCCGCACAGCAGCACCTCGGCCACCAGAGGCTTCCAGCCAAGCGGCCCGCAAGTGCCTGGACAAAAATCTCCAGCTTGGACACAGGGCTGCAGGCTGCTGTTGGGAACACAGCTGGGGGAGTCAGGAGGAGCTCCGTCTGGGAAGGAGAGAGCAGAAGCCCCCAGGAGTGACATGGGGAGAATGATCATCCCGCCGGACAAAACCTTCACTAAAATATCCTCAAATGGGCCGGGTGTGGCAGCTCACACCTGTAATCCCAGCACTTTGGGAGGCCAGTGTGGGCGGATCAGCTGAGGTCAGGAGTTCGAGACCAGCCTGGCCAATATGGTGTAACCCCATCTCTACTTTAAAAAAATACAAAAAGTAGCCGGGCATGGTGGTGGGTGCCTGTAATCCCAGCTACTCGGGAGGCTGAGGCAGGAGAATCACTTGAACCTGGGTGGCGGAGGTTGCAGTGAGCCGAGATCATGCCACCGCACTCCAATCTGGGTGCGACAGAGTGAGGCTCCCTCTCAAAATAAATAAATAAATAAATAAAATATTATCAAATTGGGCCGGGCACAGAGGCTCACACCTGTAATCCCAGCACTTTGGGAGGCCAAGGCAGGCGGATCACTTGAGGTCAGGAGTTCCAGACCAGCCTGGCTCATGTGGTGAAACCCTGTCTCTATTAAAAACACAAAATTAGCCGGACATGGTGGCGGGCATCTGTAGTCCCAGCTACTCAAGAGGCTGAAGCCGGAAAATCACTTGAGATCGAGGCTGCAGTGAACTGAGATCGTACCACTAACACCCCAGCCTGGGAGACAGAGCGAGACCCTGTCTCAAAAAAACAAATAAGTAAATAAAAATAACAATGTGTGGGAGCATTTAAAGAGGTCACAATAGGCCAGCTGCAGTGGCTTATGCCTGTAATCCCAGCACTTTGGGAGGCCGAGGCGGGCAGATCACTAGGTCAGGAATTTGAGACCATCCTGGCTAACACGGTGAAACTCCGTCTCTACTAAAAATACAAAAAATCATCTGGGCATGGTGGCGGGCGCCTGTAGTCCCAGCTACTCAGGAGGCTGAGGCAGGAGAATCGCTTGAACCTGGGAGGCGGAGCTTGCAGTGAACCAAGATCGCACCACTGTACTCCAGCCTGGGTGACAGAGGGAGACTCCGTCTCAAAAAAAAAAAAAAAGAGGTCACAATAACTAGGGGTCGCTACTAGCCTTCAGTAGGCAGAAGCCAGAAATCTTAAAATGTCCTACAGGACTTGCCCTACAGAACATCTGTTGTAAGTGCCAAGAGCGTTGAGAACTCTACCTGGTTGGGGAAAACAGGATGGCGGATGGCGAGTTCCCATCTCACCCCCAGCTGGTCCTCTTTCCCCATCACACTGCTTTGGATGTCCTTCCTACTAAATTTCGCCTTCATAAACGTAGGGGTGGATGGAGGGGGCAGTCTGACCCAGCTGCCTTCACAAGGGAAGCCGGTGCCTCTGGCTGCCCCTCCCAGAAGCCAGGCACACACACCCCTGAAATCACTGCACCAGCTTCTCTTAGGCTGAGCTGCACCCAGGACATGCAAATTTTCCATAAAGCACTTTCGGGTTCTGATCGTGAAACCTCGTGACTCCTAATTTCCTCTTCCCCAAGCTCTTGGCACCTTGTCCTGAGCTGGTCAGCTCAGTCTCATGAACACACAGTCCGGTGCCAGGAGCTGGCACGAGAAACTAGCACACATGACTCGTGTTCTCCCGAAAGGAGAGTGAAGAAGGGTGAGACTCCGGCCACAGTGGCCACGTTTTGGCTGGGTCCGTTGGTTGGAGCAGTCCCAGGCTCACGAGACTGACATCAAAGATATGAAGATCAATTAGAGGAAAGAGTTTCCCAGTGTCTAACAGCAACTGAAGGCTTGCTCTAAGACATCCTAAAACACATGTAGCATGTCATTCCTCTCTTACTAAGACCTGTCTATGGCTTCCTTTTTTTTTTTTTTTTTAGACAGAGTCTCGTTCTTGTCCCCCAGGCTGGAGTGCAATGGTGCAATCTCGGCTCACTGAAACCTCCGCCTCCGAGTTCAAGTGATTCTCCCGCCTCAGTCTCCCGAGTCACTGCTGTCGGGATAGAGACCCGCACATCCTTTTGGTGGCCTAAGGAACCTGTGGCCGGGCCTCTGCACCCCTTTCAGCTTCATCTGGCACATTCTGCTCCTTGCTCTCTTCTACTTTTTCCTGCCTTGGAACTTTTGCATAGGTTGACATCGCTGGCAAAAACGCTCTACCCCCACTCTGCCTGGGTAACTCCTACTCTCCCTTCTGGTCTTAACTTAAGTATCTTGTCTTCCAGGGAGCTTTCCCGACCCACCAGACCAGGAAGGCCTGCGTCGTTCCCTGCTTCTGAATGCTCAGGACTCTTGTAAACGTTCAATGCCTGTCTCTCCTGCTAGACTGAGGTCTCTTGGAGGATAGGAACCACATCTGTTATTCACTGTAACCCCAGGACCTTGCACAAATAGTTTCAGTGAATGAATGAGCAAGTGTGAATGAATGAATGACCAAGCATATTCCTGGTCACAAAGAGCCTGGAATGAGGCAGTACAGGTGTTCCACCCAGCCCACCTCCACCAGCTGGAAAAGAACTGTTTGGCTGGTTGAGACGTCGCGTCGAGAATGACCACCCTCTCTGGAAAGATGCAAAGAAAGAACAAATGGCCCCTAGGATGGGATTTGGGGTGGGAGAATTGCTGTTCCAATTAATTCTCTAACTGCTCACAAAAAACCCTAACTGAAAATTCCCCAGTGCACAGGGTTCCCTTGTTCAGCAGCCAGTATTGGAGGCTGTACTCCTTTCTATCCAATCAGGCTCCAACATGGAAACGGCATAGAAACCCAGAAATGGTTCAGCCCACTAAGGGAACTTCGGTCTCAGTTCTCAGAGTCCTTCTCCGAGGCCTGTCCCAAATTTGCAATAAAACTTGTTTTTAGGCCAGGCACGGTGGCTCACGCCTGTAATCCCAGCACTTTGGGAGGCCGAGGCGGGTGGATCACCTGAGGTCAGGAGTTCGAGACCAGCCTGGCCAACAAGGTGAAACCCCGTCTCTACTAAAATTACAAAAATTAGCCAGGCGTGGTGGTGGGTGCCTGTAATCCCACCTACTCAGGAGACTGAGGCAGGAGAATCGCTTGAACCCAGAAGGCGGAAGTGGAGGTTGCAGTGAGCTGAGATCGTGCCACTGCACTCCAGCCTGGGCAAGAGAGTGAGGCTCCATCTCAAAAAAACACACACAAAAAAACTTATGTTTCGGGGAGGGAGGTAAACAGTAGCTCTTCCCTGGGAAGAAAGCAGTTTCTAGGTGGGTGCCCGTCCCGTCTGCTCTCGCCGTCTGCTGGGATTCCGAGAAAGAAGATGCTGGTTGCTCACGGTATGCTCAACCCCTCTGCCCCACGGCGCTGCAGGCGAAGCTGTGAGTCACCAGCTCCCAGGAATGACTTTGATGAACCTCCAACCAGACAGATGGAAAATCTGGCTTTCAGTTCAATGATGGGAGAAATATGATAGAAATGGATTCTGGGCCCTCACGCTCCCAAGGGGCTGGCCTGAGCGAGTCTGCAGGGCCTGACAGACAGGGCTTGGGCACGACTTCTGCGGCTGCAGATTGCGCTGGGCCATGGTAACCACCACGCCGGCCCGAGGGCGCTATACAGTGCGACACCAGACTCCAGGTCTGCTGGGGGCCTGTGCCCAGGGGAGAGGCTCCTTTCCATGTTCCCGTCACCAAAACAAAGAAATAAACAAAACAACCAATGTCAAATCAAGATCCGGTTCTCGGGCCTCGAGTTTGTAAAGATCCAGAAAGCCACCCCAGCAGACGGCGGTTGGTCTGCCAGCTTCCCGCCAGCCTCCCGCCAAGCTTCCTGCCAGCTTCTCACCAGCTTCTCACCCCCGCCTAGTAACGATGTTCTGGATGTTCCAGCATTTTTCTTTTCTTTTTTTTTTTTTTTTTTTTTGAGACAGAGTCTCCCTCTGTTGCCCAGGCTGGAGTGCAGTGGCGCAATCTCAGCTCACTGCAACCTCCACCTCCCGGGTTCAAGCGATTCTCCTGTCTCAGCCTCCCGAGTAGCTGGGACTACAGGCGCCCGCCACCATGCCCAGCAATTTTGTATTTTTAGTAGAAACGGGGTTTCTCCATGTTGGTCAGGCTGGTCTCGAACTCCTGACCTCAGGTGATCCACCTGCCTTGGCCTCCCAAAGTGCTGGGACTCCAGGCGTGAGCACCTGGCCTGTTCTGACATATTCAATAGTGTCAGGGTTCTTCTGTCTCCTGAAATGAGGGGCCTGTTGAAAGCAGTAGGGGTGTGGAAGAAGAACAGAGGGTAACATAGAAACGAGGCAGCAAACACTTGCACCTGCTACCTGCGCCCAGGCTGCCGTCAGGACTCTGCATGTATTAAATCACTTCATTGTCACCGTGCCACACGACCGCTCCAGGAGCCACACATGAGCCCCTCAACACTCTGCTGCCTTTCTCCAACAGGAGGGAAAGAGCGCTCGACCGAGCACAGCCTGAATCCAGCTGCTGGTTCTGCCACTAACTTGCTGTGTGACTCTGAAGAACTGCCTTTCCCTGTCTGTCCCTTGATGTTCTCACCTCGACACGAAGAGATGTAAGTCCCAGGCAGTAGCTGATAAAGGAAGGGGGAAACTTTCCTGTTTCCCGCCCTTCAGTTCCTATATTCCAGGAAGTTTAATGGGTTTTCAGGGCTAGAAAAGTTATTATTATTATTATTTTGTAGAGCCAGAGTCTCACTATGTTACCCAGGCTGGTCTCGAACTCGTAGGCTCAAGCAATCCTCCTGCCTCATCCTCCCAAAGTGCTGGGATTACAGGCATGAGCCACGGCGCCCTGCAGAAAAGTTACTTATTATTTCACTGAATATTCCCTGAGCCCTACTGTATAAACCAGAGTTCCTTTTCCCAGGCTGCTTATGATAATAGACTTCAGACATGCCCAGAAATCACAGAGAGGGAAAGACAGACAGTGGTCTGGACAGTGAGTTATGGAGGGGGCAGGAGGGAGGTACCACTTCAAACTGAGCTGATGACTAAAAGCTTCTAGAAAGAATGTGAGCTGGGCACGGGGGCTCACACCTGTAATCCCAGCATTCTGGGAGGCCGAGGTGGGCGGATCACCTGAGGCCACGAGTTCAAGACCAGCCTGGCCAACATGGTGAAATCCCGTCTCTGCTAAAAATACAAAAAATTAGCTGGGCATGGTGGAAGGCACCTGTAATTCCAGCACTTTGGGAGGCCGAGGCAGGAGGATCACCCGAGGCCACGAGTTCAAGACCAGCCTGGCCAACATGGTGAAACCCCGTCTCTACTAAAAATACAAAAAAATAGCTGGGCGTGGTGGAAGGCACCTATAATCCCAGCACTTTGGGAGGCTGAGGCAGGTGGATCACCTGAGGTTGGGAGTTTGAGAGCAGCCTGACCAATATGGTGAAACCCCCTCTCTACTAAAAATAGAAAATTAGTGGGGTGTGGTGGCGGGCGCCTGTAATCCCAGCTACTGGGGAGGCTGAGGCAGGAGAATCCCTTGAACCCAGGAGGCGGAGGCTGTAGTGAGCCGAGATTGCGCCATTGCACTCCAGCCTGAGCAAAAAGAGCGAAACTCTATCTCAAAACAAAAAACAAAACAAAACAAAAACTTGCACAGAGGCAGACGTGGAAATGGAGCGAAGAGCTAGAATGGATGACTGTGGAGAAGGTTCTTTTGGGAACTGGGGGCGAATATAGAAACTGCTACTAATCTAACGTGTGGCCTCAGCATGAATTCAGGAAAACAACAGAATTAGCAGCTTTTCTTAGATCCACCTTATAGAGAAGCCTTTCTGGGACACCCCCTCCCCCTCAATACCCACAAGGATTCAGGACTCCCCCGCTCTCCCGGCGAGTTTGCTGAACGCCCTTCGGCCGACGTGTCCCGAGCATCGCCAGTATTTACGTTCTAGGCACCCTGTTAAGCACGTAACCTTCACTCTTCGCAAGCAGCCTCTCTATGTGGAAGCCACAGTCACCACGCCCGCTTTACAGAAGAGGCTCAAGTTCACACTGCTAGTGAGTGACAGAGCCAAGTTCTCACTCGGGTCTGGCTCGGTCCAGAGCAATTGTACCTGGCCACCAGTCCTGAAGCTTCAGGAAAGCATCCTGACCAGATGCCGCCCGACATTCACTCAGGAAGAGCTCGGTTTCCAGCACGCCAGGGAGTACTGGCAACTGACGCTAATTCAAGCACATCAGTGCAGCCCTTTTTGTTTGTGTGTTTTTATGTTTGAGATAGAGTCTCCCTCTGTCCCCCAGGCTGGAGTGTGGAGTGCAGTGGCACAATCTCGGCTCACTGCATCCTCCGCCTCCCAGGTTGAAGCGATTCACCTGCCTCAGCCTCCTGAATAACTGGGACTACAGGCACCCGCCACCACGCCCAGCTAATTTTTTTTTTGTATTTTTAATAGAGACGGGGTTTCACCGTGTTAGCCAGGATGGTTTTGATCTCCTGACCTCGTGATCTGCCCACCTTGGCCTCTCAAAGTGCTGGGATAACAGGCGTGAGCCCCGCGCCTGGCCACTGCAGCTCTTAAAGCTTACTCTCCAGGGGAAGTGGCAGAGGAAGGAAGACACAAAGATGAATTTCCATCCTCTTTCTCCTCTACTGAAATCTGACAAGCTCCTGGGTCTTTTGATTTCTCCTTGAACATGAGGTTTGTACCTGGAGGATCTCTGGTGGCAAGGGTGTTTCCTTTGTTTTTTTTTATTTATTTATATTTTGATTGATTGATTGAGACAGAGTCTCTCTCTGTCGCCCAGGCTGGAGTGCAATGGCACGATCTTGGCTCACTGCAACCTCCGCCTCCCGGGTTCAAGTAATTCTCTTGCCTCAGCCTCCCAAGTAGCTAAGATTACAGGTACACGCCACCACGCCCAGCTATTTTTTTGTTTTGTTTTGTATTTTTAGTAGAGAGGGGTTTCACCATGTTGGCCATGCTGGTCTCAACTCCTGACCTCAGGTGATCTGCCTGCCTCGTCTTCCCAAAGTGCTGGGATTACAGGTGTGAGACACTTCGCCCAGCCTTCTTTATTTTTTAGAGACAAGTCTCACTCTATCGCCCAGACTGGAGTGTAGTGGTGCAATCATAGCTCACTACAGTCTCGACCTCCCAGGCTCAAGCCATCCCCCTGCCTCAACTTCTTGCATAGCTAGGACTACAGGCATGCACCACCACACCCAGCTAATTTTTTTTTTTTTAAGATGGAGTCTCGCTCTGTTGCCCAGGCTGGAGTGCAGTGGTGCGGTCTCAGCTCACTGCAACCTCCACCTCCCGGGTTCAAGCAATCCTCCTGCCTCAGCCCCCCTAGTAGCTGGGATTACAGGCATGTGCCACCATGCCCTAAAAATTTTGTATTTTTAGTAGAGACAGGGTTTCGCCATGTTGGCCAGACTGGTCTCGAACTCCTGACTCAGGTGATTCACCCACCTCGGCCTCCTAAAGTGCTGGAATTACAGGTGTGAGCCACCGCGCCCGACCCTAATTTTTTTTTTAATTTTGTACAGACAGAACCTCACTATGTTGCCCAGGCTGCTCTTGAAGTCCTGGCCTCAGGCCAGGCGCGGTGGCTCACGCCTGTAATCCCAGCACTTTGGGAGGCCGAGGCGGGCGGATCACGAGGTCAGGAGATCGAGACCATCCTGGCTAACACGGTGAAACCCCGTCTCTACTAAAAATACAAAAAATTAGCCGGGCGCAGTGGCGGGCGCCTGTAGTCCCAGCTACTCGGGAGGCTGAGGCAGGAGAATGGCGTGAACCCGGAAGGCGGAGCTTGCAGTGAGCGGAGATCGCGCCACAGCACTCCAGCCTGGGCGACAGAATGAGACTGTCTCAAAAAAAAAAAAAAGTCCTGGCCTCAAAGGATCCTCCCACCTTGGCCTCTCCAAGTGCTGGGATTACAGGCGTGAGCCATCAGGCCCGGCCCTTAAGGGTGTTTTCTACTGCTACAGTGATTAACTAGTCTCTGGTGTATCTCTCTCCCAAAGGCAGCCCCCAGCCCTGCCTGACCCAGGCTCAGCAAGTAGCGTAAGGAGCATTTTAAAGAAAATTATTGGCTGGGCAGTGGCTCACGCCTGTCATCCCAGCACTGTGGGAGGCCGAGGCGGGTGGATCACGAGGTCAGGAGATCGAGACCATCCTGGCTAACACGGTGAAACCCCGTCTCTACTAAAAATACAACAAATTAGCCGGGCGTGGTGGTGGGCGCCTGTAGTCCCAGCTACACAGGAGGCTGAGGCAGGAGAATGGTGTGAACCCGGGAGGCAAAGGTTGCAGTGAGCCGAGATCGTGTCACTGCACTCCAGCCTGCGCAACAGAGCGAGACTCTGTCTCAAAAAAAAAAAATTATTGGCCGGCGCGGTGGCTCACGCCTGTAATCCCAGAACTTTGGGAAGGCAAGTTGGGATTGTGGGGAGAGATCACTTGAGGTCAGGGATCACTTGAGGTCAGGAGTGCGAGACGAGCCTGGGCAACATGGCAAAACCCCATCTCTACTAAAAATACAAAAATTAGCCAGGCATGGTAGCAGGTGCCTGTAATCCCAGGTACTCAGGTGGCTGAGGCACGAGGATCGCTTGAACCAAGAAGGAGAAGGTTGCAGTGAGCCGAGATCACGACACTGCACTCCAGCCTGAGCAACAGAGCGAGATTCTGTCTCAAAAAAAAAAAAAAAAATAGGCAAGGTGCGGTGGCTCACGCCTATAATCCCGGCACTTTGGGAGGCCGAGGCAGGCGGATCACCTGAGGTCAGGAGTTCAAGACCAGCCTGGCCAACATGGCGAAACCCTCTTTCTACTACAAATACAAAAATTAGCTGGGCATGGTGGCACGTGCCTGTAATCCCAGCTACTCGGGAGGCTGAGGCAGGAGAATCACTTGAACCCAGGAGGTGGAGGTCACAGTGAGCTGACATCACACCACTGCACTCCAGCCTGGGTGACAAGAGTGAAAACTCTGGCCCAAAAAACAAATTAATTAATTAAATTTAATTTAGAAAAGATTTCTTAGCTAACTTCTCAGAGGAACATAGGACAAAACTGGGTATTAACTCTACATCCTGCCTCACCCACCCCCTCCCTAAATGTTGATGACTCTGTTGCCCTGGGCTTACCAAAGAGCAGCCACACACACAGAACTTTCTGAAAAATCCTGTCAGTGCTCTGAACAAGGCTCGAGTCCCTGGGAGAAGACGGCACCACAGGAAGCTACAGGAGATCCAACCTTCCTTTTTTTTTTTTTTTTGAGACGGAGTCTTGCTCTGTCGCCCAGGCTGGAGTGCAGTGGCGCGATCCTGGCTCACCGCAAGCTCCGCCTCCCGGGTTCATGCCATTCTCCTGCCTCAGCCTCCCGAGTAGCTGGGACTACAGGCGCCCACCACCGTGCCCGGCTAATTTTTTGTATTTTTAGTAGAGATGGGGTTTCACCGTGTTAGCCAGGATGGTCTCAATCTCCTGACCTCGTGATCCATCCGCCTCGGCCTCCCAAAGTGCTGGGATGACAGGCGTGAGCCACCGCACCCGGCCAAGATCCGCCTTCCTAAGGAAGGACCCTGTGCTGCTCAGAAACCTTCCCAAATGCTCCGGGAACCCCGGCTCCCCTGCAGTGCCTCCTGGACAGACGCATCCTGCAACGCTCCAGAGGGTATCGGATCTCGGGGGCATCTCTTTCTTCAAGGCAGCCCCCAGCCCTGCCTGGCCCAGGCTCGGATGAGCATTGCAAGGAGCACTTTAAGGAGAGTCACTCCTATTTCAGAGCCTCTGGGAAACAGGCCGTGATCTCCTGCTGTGGCGCAGGGAGGGTTTGGCTGGAGGCTCTGAGCTGGAGCCACCTCCACTTAATGCTGGAGTGAATGATTTCAAACCTCTGTCTCTGCGGGTTTGAAAAAAATTGGGCAGGGTCAGCCCCATGCCCCATTTTTGGTCTGAGAGGTTGGAGAGAGAAAGACACCATCCCTCTGGCTCCTGACCGGTCATTCTGAAGCCTTGAGCTCTAGGAGCCTCCTCGGATCTTAGCCACAGCTCTGATGAAACCTCACCCTAATCCCCTTCTCGTGGCCCACAGCCTTCTAGACACTCATTGCCCAAACCCCTGCATGAGTTATTTTCCCAGTTGCTGTTTCTGTCTGATTGTGAAAGATTCTTTCCTCCCAAAAGCCACATGCCTGTCACATGAGGGGAGTGCCAGACCACCAGCAGAGAGGGGGAGGGTGCTGGGAAGTCTTCTTTCCTGGACCCCAGGCTGGTCCCCTGAGTCTTGGGGAGTGGCTCCTGATTGCTCCCTATAGCCAACATCCCAGGGAGCTTGGGATCACACTGGAGGGAAGATCAGCGCTCACCCAAACCAGACCGTGACTTGGTTTTCCCCAGAGAGCAGTATCTATGGTGTCCCCACCTAAGACCTAACTGGAGCTGGGCTCCTCAGACCACTGGCTTTGGGGGCAAATACACCCTGCTGACTGTCAGATCAAAGCCATGCTGCAGGCAGCTGAGACAGGAACACTGCCGCTGCTGCTGCGCCCGGCTGGCCGCAGCCCCACGCTGTGGGTTAGTTCTTTGGGGGCCCTAAAGGAGAGCTGAGCTGTCGCCTTCTGGACATAAAGGAGCTGCTTTTGCAAAAGAGACTGTATCTGCCCCCTGCCACAACTAACCAGAAATGAGGAAGCTGCCACAGAGAAGCCTCCCAGTCTCTGGGGCTGCGGGTTCTGTCTGCTCCCCCTCCCAGAGGCCACACATGAGGCTGTACATGCAGGCAGGCCACATTTCCTTCCAGGCCCACAAACAACCTCGACTTCCTGCAAAGACCACTAACCCCAACGTCGGTACACGTGGCACGTTGCCCAAGGCCGAGCTGCTGCTGATTTTTAGTGTGACTTTCAGGACCAAAAAGGAAGAGGTTCTGTCTGGACAAGGAGAGCTTGGCCTGAGACACCAACAGACGGCAACTTCCCACCTGGCCTCTGCCTGATTCTGCAATCAAAGCTGCCTGGTTCCGGCCAGGCACAGTGGCTCAAACCTATAATCCCAGCACTTTGGGAGGCTGAGGCGGGTGGATCACCTGAGATCAGGAGTTCGAGACCAGCCTGGCCTCATGGTGAAACCCCATCTCTACTAAAAATACAATATTAACCAGGCGTGGCGGTGTACACCTGTGATCCCAGCTACTTGGTTTTTTGTTTTTGTTTTTGAGATGGAGTCTCGCTCTGTTGCCCAGGCTGGAGTGTAGTGATGCCATCTCGGCTCACTGCAAGCTCCGCCTCCCGGGTTCACGCCATTCTCCTGCCTCAGCCTCTCCAGTACCTGGGACTACAGTTGCCCACCACCACACCTGGCAAATTTTTTTTTTTTTAATAGAGGTGGGTTTCACCGTGTTAGCCAGGATGGTTATGATCTCCTGAACTTGGGATCCGCCCGCCTCAGCCTCCCAAAGTGCTGGGATTACAGGCGTGAGCTACCGCGCCTGGCCAATCCCAGCTACTTGGGAGGCTGAGGTAGAAGAATCGTTTGAACCTGGGAGGCAGAGGTTGCAGTGAGCCGAGACGGTGCCATTGCACTCCAGCCTGGGCAACAGAGCGGGACTCTGACTCGAAAAAAAAAAAAAGAGGTGCCTGGTTCCAAGGACGAGGCCCTATCTCCTCCCAGACCTTCATTCCTCTGAGGGGGCCGGGGAAGGTGTGAAAACTTTGCTCGGGAGTGGTCAGGGTCACGAATGCCTGGTTCTGGAAAACAAAACCTCTCTCTGGCTCTGCAGGTGCCAGGGAAGACTGGGGGAAACAGAGGCAGTGAGCCAGGGCCCGGCTAGGAAGATCACCCGGGCTGCTGGCTCAGAAGCCACGCTGCAATTAACACACTGGCAGGGGCTCATCTGTACCCATGTCATAGACCACCAAGAGGCCACACGGAAGGTACAAAACATACAGGCTGTTGGGGTTTTTGTTTTCTGGTTTTTTTGAAACAGGATCTTGCTCTGTTCCCCAGCTGGAGTGCAGTGGTGCAATCACAGCTCACTGTAGCTGGTGGGATATTTTTGGGGGTGGAAGGGAGAGACGGACTCTCACCGCAGCCTCCCCCTCCCGGGTTCAAGCAATTCTCCTGCCTCAGCCTCCCAAGTAGCTAGGATTACAGACGCCCGCCACCACGCCCGGCTAATTTTTGCATTTTCAGTAGAGACAGGGTTTCACCATGTTGGCCAGGCTGACCTCAGTTGAACTCCTGACCTCAGGTGATCCACCCACCTCAGCTGCCCAAAGTGGTGGGATTACAGGTGTGAGCCACAGCACCTGGCCAATTTTTTAAAACTATAAGTTTATTCAGTTTTTTTTTTCTGTCATATAAGTCATAAAGCCAGAATTTTAAAAACTTTTAGACAATAAAAGAGTAAAATGTGACCCATAAAATACACCACCCCAATTAGCATTTTCCAGCTTTTTTTGTATGCATATAATAGAGCTCTTTTTTCTTTTTTTTTTTATTATACTTTAAATTTTAGGGTACATGTGCACAACGTGCAGGTCTGTTACATATGTATACATGTGCCATGTTGGTGTGCTGCAACCATAGAGCTCTTTACAAAGTTTTATAGTTGGCCTTCTCTACCTGGCTGGAAGCCACACTATCCCTATCCAAGGGCACCCTCAGATTCAACCAACCACAGATCAAAAATATTTGGGAGGAAAACAATTAAAAAAAAACACCACAAAAATAAAAAATACAAATAATACAGCATAACAACCACATAGCATTTGCAATGTATTAGGTATTAAAAATAACCTAGAGATAAGTTAAAGTACACGGGGGTCGGGGGCAGGCATGGTGACTCACGCCTGTAATCCCAACACTTTCGGACGATCGCTTGAAGCCAGGAGTTCAAGACCAGCCTGGGCAACATAGCAAGACACTGTCTCCATTAAAAAAAATTTTTTTAAATAAAGTCTATGGGAGACGTGATTAGGTTACATGTAACTATTACAGCACCTTATATAAGAGACTTGGGCGTCCTGGGATTCTGGTATCTGCCAGGGGTCCTGGGGCCAATCCCCCATGAAAATGGAGGGACAGGTGTAATTGGAGTGGCTCTCCAGACTGTGCCCAGGAATTTCTCAGCCTGATCTTTGGCCAGTCCAGCTTCATTTTCTCCCCTCCTCCCGTTACATCAAGCAGAACAAGTTTCACCTAGATGAGCTATGACCTCACTTTATTCGGGGCCTCCGTGGTGCAGACACAAAGATGGATCCCCAGGTGGAAACCCGGGCACGTCATCCCGGTTTGTTCATGGTGCAAGATGTCTCCGGTTACTTCGGGGAGACAGGAACATGACCTGGGTTATCAGCACCGTCCAGGGACACCAGAGATAAAGCCTCATCTATAACATCCCCAGTAAAAAGCTGAGAATTGCTCCTGACAAGGTCCTGGGGCTCTTCCTTCCTCTGGGCAGGGCTACAGCTTAGAGACTGGGAGAAAGCCTTGGGGTTGGCCAGGGACACCCACCTGCCTCAGGAGGGGCTGTGTTAATGACATCAGCCTTTCAGCAATGGAAACTAAGGAGGATGGGGGGAGGAAAGTACAGGAAGACTTGTAAAGGGAAAGTTCTGTTTGGATTCAGGGCCCAAGCCCCAAACCCTGATAGGAATAAAATGATCAGAGGAGCAGCCGGGGAGGCTTTGGTGCCCCTCAGGCAGCCGCATCACTCAAGACTGTTCACATCAGCAATAGCTTCACGGGGCCGGTGTCCACGAGGCTGCTGCTCCGGATGCAAAGCACAATGCTTTAGGTCAGGATGTGGGTTCTAGAGACAGAACAGACCCGGTTCACGGCCTGGTGTCACGACGTATTGAACCTCTCTGAGCTTCAGTCTCTTCAGTAATGACGGTAAGTGCTTTAACTGAGATTGTTAACAAGACCCAGCGAGATCGTGAAAAGAAGACACCCCGCACAGCGCCTGTTCCCTCGTTAGCACTCACGCAGTATCAGCTATTATCATCATGCTGGCTGACTTTTATGTGAGCGTGTATAACACGGGTACACACACACACAACACCTCTCTCCGGAGGGTAAAAACAAGACAAAAAGTGAAACAGGCCCCCCGATGCCGAAGAGATGACGGCAACCCCGATATTGTGCGTGGTGTGAAGGTCACCAAAGCAAAACCACACGCTTTGTTTTCTGGGGGTGTCTCATTGACAGTGCAGAGGTAGCTTACTAGCATTTTTGCTTGTTTGTTTGTTTTTTTGAGAGAGTCTCGCTCTGTTGCCCAGGCTGGTGTGCAGTGGCGTGATCTCTGGCTCACTGCAACCTCTGCCTCCCACGTTCACGCCATTCTCCTGCCTCAGCCTCCTGAGTAGCTGGGACAACAGGCGCCCACCACCACGCCCGGCTAATTTTTTTGTATGTTTAGTAGAGATGGGGTTTCACCGTGTTAGCCAGGATGCTCTCGATCTCCTGACCTCGTGATCCGCCCGCGTCGGCCTCCCAAAGTGCTGGGATTACAGGCGTGAGCCACCGCGCCCATCCTGCTTACTAGTGTTTCTTAAAAAGTCAAAGCAACGCTATTCTTCATAAGTGTGTTCCTCCCATACTTTGCTATTCAAGAGCAGCTAGATTAAGAGAAAGAAGATCCATCTAGAAAAACATAATCCCTTTGCCTCCTTTTATTTATTTATTTTTCGAAACAGAGTCTGGCTCTGTAGCCGCTCTGTTGCCCAGGTTGGGGCACCACCATGCCCAGCTAATTTTTGTATTTTTAGCATAGATGGGGTTTCCCCATGTTGGCTAGGCTGGTCTCCAACTCCCGACCTCAGGTGATCCACCCCCTTCGGCCTCCCAAAGTGCTGGGATTACAGGTGTGAGACACCGCACCTGGCCCAAGAACCTCTTTATAACAGATGCAGCCATACCAGAGCCCCAGAGCGCACATTCAAAAGAGAATCTCCAACCTCTTATTACTCATCTTAGATCACTCATTCTAAATTGCAAATTCAAAGGGGATCCCGGCTGTCTCTTTCCTATACTCTTCAGCGAACAGTCCCCAAACACACACGTGCCCACTCATGATGAAGTTGCATTCAGAGTATTTCCCCTATGGACAAAGAGGCTCAGATTCCTGACCCTCTTCTGAAAGGCCCCAGCTGCCCCCTTTTCACATCTTCACATATGAGCTGGCAGCAAATGTTGCATGAAATGAAGACCCTGTTAGGAAAGGGAAGGTGATCCATAGCCATCTACTCCTAATCCGCTGACCCTTGATGAAATAGGCCTAGGTTTAGGGTTAGGAAACACTGCGGCTAGAAACAGAGACCTTGGAGACAAATGGCCCTCTTGTTTCAACAAGGAAGCTTCTACTGCTTGGGAGAAAGTGGTCAGCTCAGCTCTCCTCGAACCCTACTATTTAGGTTGGTGCAAAAGTAATTGCTGTTTTTGCCATTACTTTTTTTTTTTTTTTAAGATGGAGTCTTGCTCTGTCCCCCAGGCTACAGTACAGTGGTGTGATCTCGGTTCACTACAACCTCCGCCTCCCGAGTTCAAGCAATTCTCCTGCCTCAGCCTCCCAAGTAGGTGGGATTAAAGGCATGCACCACCACGCCTGGCTAATTTTGTATTTTTAGTAGCGACGAGGTTTCATCATGTTGGCCAGGCTGGTCTCGAACTCCCGACCTCAGGTGATCCGCCCGCCTCGGCCTCCCAGAGTGCTGGGATGACAGGCGTGAGCCATCGCGCCCAGCCCCATTCCTTTTAAAAGGTCTTTCACTTGCCGGTGTGAGCAGAGGATCCTGGGGAGACTCCTTGGAAGGGGCTTCGGATCCAGCCAGGCTCCCGCGCAGTCCTCAGGGGGCGTGGCCCGGCTCGTGGGGGCGGAGTCCATGGGGGGCGGGGTCCGCGGGGAGGAGCCTGCGGGGCGGTCCCCCGTGGGGGCGGGGCCTTGAGGGGGCGGGGCCCGCGGGGGGCGGAGTCTGCGGGGGCGGGGCCCGCGGGGACGGAGTCTGCGGGGGCGGGGCCCGCGGGGACGGAGTCTGCGGGGGCGGGGCCCGCGGGGACGGAGTCTGCGGGGGCGGGGGCCGCAGGTCCTGGTCACGTGATGAGGCTGCGGTAAGTCGCCCGGGCTGCCTAGTCCTCCAGGCGCGGTTAATCCAGTCGGGAACCCCTGAGTCACCGCCCGCCGCCGCTGCGAGGAGCCCGGCGAGTGTTCGGCCTCGGTTTCTGAGGTTTCGGCGGGAGCGGTGATGCAGACGCCTTCAGGGCCCGGGTCGTGTCCGTGACTCGCGCAGGAAGGCGGATGGCGCCCCCCGGGCCTGCCTACACCCTGGGAACCTCGCGGGGCGAAGGGGGCTCGGGCGCTCTCTCCGCGTGGCGAGAGACCCGCCAGGGGGTGTGGCGTGAGTGTGTGTCCCGCCAGGACGTTCCGGTGGCGCCGCCTGACGCGGGAGGAGAAACCAGCTCCAGCTCCTCATCTGGATTTTACATAAATCCATGGCTCAAAGTGCTTTCCTGTCCGGACCTCGGTGCCGGCTTCACGGGGGAAATCCCTGGAGCCGAGGGGAGGGCACGAGAAACCACCGACCCCCGGCCCACGGGCCAGCCCAGTCCACTCCTCCCGGCCTCTCCCTCATCTCGGCCTGGGCCCCGCAGAAGCCACCACCAGGGCTCCTGGATTCCACCAGGGGCATCTTAGTCCCCAGCGGGGCATTTAAAGACTTAATGTGGGCCGGGCGCGGTGGCTCAGGCCTGTCATCCCAGCACTTTGGGAGGACGAGGCGGGCGGATCACCTGAGGTTGGGAGTTCGAGACCAGCCTGGACGGCATGGTGAAACCCCGTCTCTACTAAAATACAAAACATTATCCGGGCGTGGTGGTGCGCGCCTGTAATCCCAGCTACTCGGGAGGCTGAGGCAGGAGAATCGCTTGAACCCGGGAGGCAGAGGTTGCAGTGAGCCGAGATTGCGCCACTGCGCTCCAGCATGGGCGACACAGCGAGACTCTGTCTCAAAAAACAAACAAACAAAAAAAATGAGAAACATGGGTTCAAACTACAGTCCTGAGCCATATGACCTGAAAGGACTATATATACAAAGGTGGTCCAGAAGATTATAATCCTGTATTTTTTCCTGTACCTTTTGTACGCTTAGACGTGTTCAGATACACAAACATTTTCCATTGTGTTACAACGGCCTATAGTATTCAGTATAGTGACCTGCTATACAGGTTCGTACCTAGGAGCAGTAAGCTGTCTATATCATATATCATATCTATATCACATAGTGGGCTATACCATTGAGCCTACTATGTACCTGGGCTGTATGTTAGTATTTAGGTTTGTGTGAAATATACAGCCAGGTGATTTTTGTATTTAGGTTTGTGTAAAATATACTATGATGCTTGCACAACAGTGAAATCATCTACACATTTCTCAGAACCTCTTTTTTTCTTTTCTTTTTCTTTTTCTTTTTTTTTTTTTTTTTTTTGAGACTGAGTCTCGCGCTATCACCCAGGCTGGAGTGCAAGGGCGTGATCTCGGCTCACTGCATCCTCTGCCTCCTGGGTTAAAGTGATTCTCCTGCCTCAGCCTCCCAAGTAGCTGGGATAACGGGTGCACCACCACGCCCGGCTAATTTTTGTATTTTTAGTAGACATGAGGTTTCACCATGTAAGCCAGGCAGCTCTCAAACTCCTGACCTCAGGTGACCCGCCCACCTCAGCCTCCCAAAGTGCTGGGATTGCAGGCCTGAGCCACCATACCCGGTTTTATCCCCATTATTAAGAGACTGTAATGAGCTCTGGGCCCTTTGGCACATTACCCAATATTCTTAAGCCTTAGTTTTCTCATACATCAAATGGGGGCTAATAATACAAACCTCTCTGGTTGTGAGAATAAATGAAACAGTGCACAAATGAGATACAAATACTTCTAAGCATGCCGTGAAAGGCCTGAGAATGTATCATCTGTAACAGCCTGTTCTGTAGGCTCCTTCTGGAGAGAGGAGTGGGGTCGGGGGGAGAGGTGACAGGAAATGACAGGCTTCATTTCCAAGATTTCAGTAGCGTTTGAATCTTTTCTATTGAAAATGCATTGGCTGGGTGCAGTGGCTCACGTCTGTAATCCCAGAACTTTGGGAGGCCAAGGCAGGAGGACTGCTTGACCCAGCAGTTTGAGACCAGCCTGGACAACATAGTAAGACTTCATCTCTACAAAAAATACCAAAATTGGCCAGGCGCGGCGGCTCACGCCTGTAATCCCAGCACTCTGGGAGGCCCAGGCGGGCAGATCACAAGATCAAGAGACGGAGACCATCCTGGCCAACATGGTGAAACCCCATCTCTGCTAAAAATAGAAAAATTAGCTGGATGTGGTGGTGCATGCCTGTAGTCCCAGCTACTCAGAAGGCTGCGGCAGGAGAATCACTTGAACCAGGAGGTGGCGGTTGCAGTGAGCTGAGATTGCGCCACTGCACTCCAGCCTGGCGCCAGAGCAAGACTCCGACTCGAAAAAAGAAAAAAAAAATACAAAAATTAGCTGGGCGTGGTGGCGCGCACCTGTAGTCCCAGCTACTTGGGAGGCTGAGGCAGGAGAATTATTTGAACCCAGGAGGTGGCGGTTGCAGTGAGCTGAGATCGCGCCACTGCCCTCCAGCCTGGTGACAGAAGGAGACTCCGTCTCAAAAAAAAGAGAAACAAAATTAGCTGGGTGTGGTGGCACACTCGGGAGGATCACTTGAGCCAGAGAGGTTGAGGCTGCAGTGAGCTCTCATGTGACCACTGACGTCACATCACTGTGATGGGTTAGACACTGATGCGTTTATAGTGTAACTGCCACGTGACTGGGTTGTTGCGTGCACAACCGAGCATCCCTTGACCCCTTAGATCACACAGGGTTTATCCCAGGAATACAAGCCTAGCTCAATATTAGACAATCTGCATGATTCACTACATTAATTTATTATTATTAATATTAGAGACAGGTTCTTGCTCTGCCACCCAGGCTGGAGTGCAGTGGCACTATGACAGCTTACTTGCAGCCTTGGACTCCAGGGCTCAAGCGGTTCTCCTGTCTCAGCCTCCTGAGTAGCCAGGATGACAGGCATTTGGAAACTGAAAAGTGGAAATAACCAGCTTTCGTTTCTGGGCTGCAGCTTGTTTAGTGCCACATCTTGGAGAAAGCTCTGTGCTTGTGGTTAGATGGGTTGATCTTGAATGGCCAAGGTGGGTGGATTGCTTGAGTCCAGGAGTTTGAGGCTAGCCTGAGTTGGTCTGCAAACCAGCTCACCAGATATTGGGTTTCACCATGTCTCCAAAAATATTTTGTGAAATTTGTGAAACTCCATCTCTACAAAAACATACAAAAATTAGGCTGGGCGCGGTGGCTCATGCTTGTCATCCCAGCACTTTGGGAGACCAAGGTGGGTGGATCACCTGAGGCCAGGAGTTCGAGACCACCCTGGCCAACATGGTAAAACCCCGTCTCTACTTAAAATACAAAATTTAGCTGGGCGTGGTGGCATGCGCCTGTAATCCCAGCTACTCGGGAGCTGAGGCAGGAGAATTGCTTGAACCCGGGAGGTGGAGGTGGCAGTGAGCTGAGATCTCACCACTGCACTCCAGCCTGGACAACAGAGTGAGACTCCATCTCAAAACAAACAAAAAAAAAAGCCAGGCATTGTGGTTCGTGCCTATAGTCCCAGCTACTACTCCACAGGCTAAGGTGGAAGGATTGCTTGAGCCCAGGAGTTCAAGGGTGCCAGTGAGCTGTGATTGTGCCACTGGCACTCCAGCCTGGGCAACAGTGAGACGTGTCTCAAAAAAAAAAATGTGAACAGATTCTCTCAAAAAGAAGTAAGGTGAGAATATAAATTGGATCAACTTTTCTGAAGGATAATTTTACAATATCTATTTGTATTTAAAATGCATATATTTGGCCGTGTGCAGTGGCTCACACCTGTAATCCCAGCACTTTGGGAGGCTGAGGCGGGCGGATCACCTGAGCTCAGGAGTTCGAGACCAGCCTGGCCAACATGGCGAAACCCCATCTCTGCTAAAAATATAAAATTAGCTGGGAATGGTGGCAGGCGCCTGTAATCCCAGCTACTCAGGAGGCTGAGCCAGGAGAATTGCTTGAACTCGGGAGGTGGAAGTTGCAGTGAGCCGAGATGGCGCCAGTACACTCCAGCCTGGGCAACATGAGCGAAACTCCGTCTCAAAAAAAAAAAAAAAAAGAGAAGTGGGGGAAAAAAGGAAACTGTTGGAATCACAGACCTTATGACTTTGTAATTCCTTGCACAGCCTCTCTTAGAAGATCAGTAACTTTGTTTTTTGTTTGTTTGTTGTTTTGTTTTTGAGACAGAGTCTCGCTCTGTTGCCCAGGCTGGAGTGCAGAGGTGCGATCTCGGCTCACTGCAACCTCCGCCTCCCGGGTTCAAGCGATTCTCCTGCCTCAGCCTCCCGAGTAGCTGGGATTACAAGGCGCCTGCCACTGCACCAGCCTAATTTTTGTATTTTTAGTAGAGATGGGGTTTCACCATGTTGGCCAGGATGGTCTCAAACTCCCGACCTCAGGTGATCCACCCGCTTCGGCCTCCCAAAGTGCTGGGATTACAGGCCGGAGCCACCGCACCTGTCCAGATCAACCACTTTGGGGCCATTGATATCAGAGATGGCCTCCCTGCTCTTGTCTAGGAATGAGGGTGTAGCAGACCCATTGAGTTATGAGTGTTTATAAAAGAGAAGTTGCTCGACCCCCAGATGAGTCCCTGGGTGGAAAGGAAATGGTGGATACTAGAACTTGTTCTTCCTGGCCTTCCTGGGCAACTGACACACAGGAGGCAGCTCTGCCTGTGACCCGAAGGAACTAGGTGTCAGGAGCAGCAACGCAGGGCACCCCAGTGTGAAGTGCCCTTGGCCAGCTGAGGAATTGACATTCTCCTCTCCAGGAACAGCAGCAGCATGTGCTGCGTCTCGATCGGGTGATTCCCACACCATCACTGCATGCCACGGTCCCCTGTCAGCCTGTGAAGAACCAGTCTCAGAGCCACATCTGTGGCAGAGAAGTCCTTGCTACTAATGAGATTCGAGTTCTCTGCTAACGTCGCGGTAGAGAAGTGCTGACCACTGCTCCCTTGTTGACTCTGTAAGGGAGAGGTTCAAGAGGGAGCTGCCGGCCGGGCACAGTGGCTCACGCCTCTTATCCCAGCACTTTGGGAGGCCGAGGCGGGCGGATCACGAGGTCGGGAGATCGAAACCATCCTGGCTAACACGGTGAAACCCCATCTCTACTAAAAATACAAAAAATTAGCCGGGTGTGGTGGCGGGCGCCTGTAGTCCCAGCTACTCGGGAGGCTGAGGCAGGAGAATGGCATGAACCCGGGAGGTGGAGCTTGCAGTGAGCCGAGATCATGCCACTGCGCTCCAGCCTGGGTGAGAGTGTGAGACTCCGTCTCAAAAAAAAAAAAAAAAAGCCTGCTTTGTGCCTGCCAAGTCAGTTAAAGACGGCAAGTGCTTAGTATGGGTCTCTCTTGTACATACATGTATGTAGTGAACACCTGTTTGCTAGCCTAGTACCACAGTTACACTGAAGGCTCCTGAAGCAGAATTTTGAACTCTTTCCCTTGGTTCACTGCTCGGCTCAATGCAGGTGCCAATAAAGTTTGCCTTCATGGTGCCTGAATCCCTTTCTTCCGGATGGAGTTCATGGGAGCTTGGAATTGATAGAGTTCATGGGAGCCTGGAACTTACAGTCATAAAATCAGACATACAGTGTTTTACTCTCTGCAGCTGCGTTGAAGTGGGTGGTGTTTTATTGTTCACATCCTTCTCTTTTAACCTGTTTGTTTCTTTCTTTTTTTTTTTGAGACCGTCTTACTCTGTCCTTCAGGCTGGAGTGCAGTGGTGTGATCTCGGCTCACCGCAACCTCCACCTCCTGGGTTCAAGCCATTTTCCTGCCTCAGCCTCCCAAGTAGCTGGGATTACAGGCATGCGCCACCACGCCTAGCTAATTTTTGTATTTTTAATAGAGACAGGGTTTTGCCATGTTGGCCAGGCTGGTCTCGAACTCCTGGACTAAGGTGATTCACCTGTCTCGGCCTCCCAGTGAGCCACCATGCTCAGCCAAAGTTTGCTTGAATGGTGCCTGAATCCCTTTCTTCCAGATAGAGTTTATGGTAGCCCAGAACTGACCTCTCGTGGTCATAAAATCAGACATACAATGCCTTACTCTCTGCACCTGCTTTGAAGTGGGTGGTGTTTTATTGTCCACATCCTTCTCTCTTAACTTTCTAATACTTGGTGACGTGGACACCCCACACACATACGAGTTACACATATACATAGATAATTATACTGTTTTGTTGACCTTTTTCATTGAGCAGTTTGGAGGTATAATCACTCTAAATTTTCTGCAGCAATTCTTTTAAGCACTGGAAAAAGTTGCATTTATCAAAGTCCAGCAGGTATCCCCAGTTATTTACAAATTCAGCAAATTTACGAATCACAACAAAGCTGCCATCTTAACTCCACGATGATCTTTGCTGCTGAAGAAAACAGATACATATGCCAAAGTGCCTTCAGAACCTCCAACAAATTAAAAAAAGAAAACACATATCTTTCATGGCAAAGACACCTAAATTAGTAAAGCACTAAATTAGTGACGGCTGATCTCTTAGAGAGACAGGGAGAAAGTAGAGGTAGAAAGTAACAGAATCTAGAGAGGCGGAAGCTCAGCCCAGCTGTGTTGGTACTGTGGGGGCTGTCACTTTTTACCTGCGTAGAAAGTTCTGACCTAAGCCGGGCGCCGTGGCTCACACCTGTAATCCCAACTCTTTGGGAGGCCGAGGTGGGTGAATCACCTGAGGTCAAGAGTTCAAGACCAGCCTGGCCAACATGGTGAAACCCCATCTCTGCTACCCAGCTTCTCCGCACTATCGTCCACGTTATCACTCAGCTTCTCTGCACTATCGTCCAGGTGTCACTCAGTTTCTCCATGCTGTTGTCCGCGTATCACTCAGCTTGTCTGCACTATCGTCCAGGTGTCACTCAGCTTCTCTGCACTATCGTCCAGGTGTCACTCAGTTTCTCCATGCTATTGTCCGCGTATCACTCAGCTTGTCTGCACTATCGTCCAGGTGTCACTCAGCTTCTCTGCACTATCGTCCAGGTGTCACTCAGCTTTCTGCTATTGTGTTTGCTCTCAAGCCAAAAATCACTTTGGGCTGTTTCCTCTCTCTCTGCTTCCTGGCTCCTAACACAAAAGGATTACTTTATCACTTTATCAACCAACTGGCAACTCCTATCTACTCACACACAAACTCAAAAGGGCTTTTTCCTCCATGCTTTGCTTAGACCAACCTTAGCCTCTTAAGGACATTTAGAACCGTATTTTTGCATCCTTTTAACATCAACCTGTAGGGCCAGATGGACGGAAAGGGCCCTATATTTTAAAGGTGCCAGACATTTACCACCTCATATCAAGCACTTGGCAAAGCCTGCCAAACTCTGGGGTGCTGGACTGGCTGCTGAAAAATCTCCCGAGCTTGTTAAAAACAGAGATTCCTGGCCGAGCGTGGTGGCTCACGCCTATAATCCCAGCACTTTGGGAGGCCAAGGCGGACGGATCATGAGGTCAGGAGTTTGAGACCAGCCTGTCCAATATGGTGAAACCCCGTCTCTACTAAAAAATACAAAAATTAGCCAGGCGTGGTGGCAGACGCCCATAGTCCCAGCTACTCAGGAGGCTGAGGCAGGAGAATTGCTTGAGCCCAGGAGGCAGAGGTTGCAGTGAGCAGAAATCTCTCCACTTCTTTCCAGCCTGGGCGACAGAGTGAGGCTCCGTCTCAAAAAAATGAATAAATAAATAAATAAATAAATAAATAATGAAAAATAAATAAAAATATGGATTCCAGGTTTTGCTCTGACCCAGTGGGATTCCATTTCAGTGGAGCTAGCCACCAAAAATCGATCTTCTTCTGCTGTTCCTGCAGAGGTGTCTGACTTGCAGTCAGTCCTTATCTAAATTATTCCAGGTCCTGTGGCAGGTGCTTAGAAAACAAAGCGTGAATCATAGGAGTCATTATTGATTGATTATTCACCGTGATTTTTTTACCATAGATTTCCTCATTAATCCCCACAACATTCCAGGAAATAGACACTATTAACACATCCATTTTACAGATAAGATATCCAAGGCACAGAGACGTGAAATAACGTTTTTAAATCCTCACAGCTAGTAAGGGGTAGAGCTGAGGTTCAAACGTGGGCAGTCTGACCCCAGAACCTGCATCCTTTACTGCCATAAGGTGGTATCTGCCTTCAGCAATGCTAGCAAGGTGGGAACAATATGTAAATTACTGTAACAAGGCCGGCCACGGTGGCTCATGCCTGTAATCCCAGCACTTCGAGAGGCCAAGGCAGGCTGATTGCTTGAGGTCGGGAGTTTGAGACCAGCCTGGCCAAGATGGTGAAACCCCGTCTCTACTAAAAATACAAAAAATTAGCCTGGTGTGGTGGCACAAGCCTGTAATCCCAGCTACTCGGGAGGCTGAGGCACAAGAATTGCTTGAACTCGGGAGGTGGAGGTTGCAGTGAGCCGAGATTGCACCGCTGCACTCTAGCCTAGGCGACAAGAGCAAGACCCCATCTCGAAAAAAAAAAAAATTACTATAACAAGAAGAAGAATGAAACAGTGTTAAACTGAGATACAAAGAGGCTGGGCATGGTGGCTCACGCCTATAGTCCCAGTACTTTGGGAGGCCAAGGCAGGAAGATCTCTCGAGTCTGGGAGTTCGAGACCAGCCTGGGCAACAGAGCAAGACCTCATCTCTACAAAAGTTTTATAAGGATTAGCCAGGTGTGGTGGTACATGCCTGTGGTCCCAGCTACTTGAGAGGCTGAAGTGGGAGGCTCGCTTGAGCACAGGAGTTTGAGGCTGCAGTGAGCCCTGATCATGCCACTGCTCTCCAGCCTGGGCAATAGACCATGACACTGTCTCAAAAGAGAAAAAAAAACAACAACAAAACAAAACAAAAAGAGACGCCAGGCACAGTGGTTCACACCTGTAATCCCAGCACTCTGAGAGGCTGAGGCGGGCGGATCATTTGAGGTCAGGAGCTCGAGACTGGCCTGGCCAACATGGTGAAACCTCGTCTCTACTAAAAATACAAAAATTGGCCGGGCATGGTGGCTCACGCCTGTAATCCCAGCACTTTGGGAGGCCGAGGCCAGCAGATCACCTGAGGTCGGGAGTTTGAGACCAGCCTGATCAACATGGAAAAACTCCATCTTTACTAAAAGTACAAAATTAGCCAAGTGTGGTGGCGGACGCCTGTAATCTCAGCTACTTGGGAGGCTGAGACAGGAGAATCGCTTGAGCCCAGAAGTTGGAGGTTGCAGTGAGCCAAAATCTCTCCACTTCACTCCAGCCTGGGCAACAGAGTGAGACACTGTCTAAAAAAAAAAAAGAGAGAGAGAGATAAAGAGATACTTGGGGAGAAGCTGTATCTGGGATGGGAATTTGGACTTAAGAAATTTTTCACCCTTTTACCAAACAGCTAAAGGAGTGTGAAATTCCCCCAACAAATCCTTGAATGGAGCTGCAGACAATCAGAGTCAACCCATCTAACCACGCACAGAGCTTTCTCCAAGATGTGGCACTAAACAAGCTGCAGCCCAGAAACGAAAGCTGGTTATTTCCACTTTTCAGCTTCTAAAACCTGTTAATTTTGTAATATGCTCAGGGTGGGAGACAGCTCAGCCCAGGAAATGATGAGATGTGAAGCTGCAGATTCTGTTTTTCTCCCAAACACTGTGCCGGCCATTAATTCACCTAAAGACCATGATTTGAGACCCAACTAGCAAACTAAGGGGCATCCAAAGAGCAGGAAGACGTGGCCATAGTTTAGGTGACTAAGCAGGTACTATTTGGTGTGAATTAAGGCTGCAGAGCTTGAAGGTCACAGTCTTTTTTTTGAGACGGAGTCTCGCTCTGTCCCCCAGGCTGGAGTGCAGGGGTGCAATCTCGGCTCACTGCAACCTCCGCCTCCCAGATCCACACCATTCTCCTGCCTCAGCCTCCTGAGTAGCTTGGATTACAGGTGCATGCCACTATGCCCGGCTAATTTTTGTATTTTTTTAAGTAGAGGCGGGGTTTCACCATGTTGGTCAGGCTGGTCTCAAACTCCTGACCTCGTGACTCACCCGCCTCGGCCTCCGAAAGTGCTGGGATTACAGGCGTGAGGCACCACGCCCGGCCAAAGGTTACGGTCTTAACTCCTAAGTCCTTCTGTGCTAGCTTCTCAGAGATTGCACGCAAACTGTGCAAAGATACTGTCTTAACCCCACAGTGATTTCACTTCTTCAAAGATGACAGACTCTATGGTTCCAAAGCGACAAAACTGTGAAAACAAGGCAGTCTAAGGTGCTGTTTCTATTTTGGAGAGATGTGAAATGGTTTGTTTTTTGTTTTTTGAGACCGAGTCTCGCCCTATCGCCCAGGCTGGAGTGCAATGGCACAATCTCGGCTCACTGCATCCTCCGCCTCCCGGGTTCAAGTGATTCTCCTGCCTCAGCCTCCCGAGTAGCTGGGATTACAGGCGCCCGCCACCACGCCCGGCTAATTTTGTATTTTTAGTAGAGAAGAGGTTTCATCATGTTGGTCAGGCTGGTCTCGAACTCCTGATCTTGTGATCCACCCGCCTCGGGCTCCCAAAGTGCTGGGATTACAGGCATGAGCCACCGCTCCCGGCCTGAGATGTGAAATGTTACACAGGACTTGGACTTCCCCGCCCCCCACCACCACCTTAAACCTAAAGATAAGCTAACTTCAGGTCCCTTCAACCTAAAATGAACATTTATTTTGGCTTTCATCAGTTTTTGGAATCTATGATACTAGGATGTGTGTGTATATATATATATTTCCTCTCCATGAGTAACCACCACCCCAGGGATGACTTAGGCAAAATATTTAAATTATTCCTTAACAAGTTTAAATTACCCTAACAATGCTGAATATCTACAGTTAATAGCAATTTAAAGGAATATAAAGGAGAGATTTAAGATTTGAATATAAAAATTCTGATCCTGGCCGGGTGCAGTGGCTCATGCCTGTAATCCCAGCACTTTGGGAGGCTGAGGCAGGTAGATCACCTGACGTCAGGAGTTCGAGACCAGCTTGACCAACATGGAGAAACCCCATCTCTACTAAAAATACAAAATTAGCCAGGCGTAGTGGCACATGCCTGTAATCCCAGCTACTCGGGAGGCTGAGGCAGGAGAATCGCTTGAACCTGGGAGGCGGATGTTGCAGCGAGCCAAGATCGTGCCACTGCACTCCAGCCTAGGCAACAAGAGCGAAACTCCACCTCAAAGAAAAAAATATATATATTTGATTGTACATAGTTTTTCCCTGTAATGTGGCAGCTATCTCGGTGTATATAAGCTCAATGGCCAAGTTCTATTTCTCTCCAAATAAAATACTCAGACCAAAAAAGTATTGCTCTTGACCAGGTGGGGTGGCTCACGCCTATAGTCCCAGCACTTTAGGAGGTGGAGGCAGGCAGATTGCTTGAGTCCAGGTGTTTAAGACCACCCTGGGCAACATGGCAAAACCCCATTTCTACAAAACATACAGAAATTAGGTAGGCGTGATGGTGTGTGCCTGTAGTCCCAACTACTCAGGAGGCTGAGGCAGGAGAATCACTTGAACCCAGGAGGCAGAGATTGCAGTGAGCCTAGATCTCCCCACTACACTCTAGCCTGGGTGACAGAGCAAGACTCTGTCTCAAAAAAAAAAAAAAGAAAAGAAAGAGCTCTCCCTCTCCCTCTCTCTCCACGGTCTCCCTCTGATGCCGAGCCGAAGCTGGACTGTACTGCTGCCATCTCGGCTCACTGCAAGCTCCCTGCCTGATTCTCCTGCCTCAGCCTGCCGAGTGCCTGCGATTGCAGGCGCGCGCTGCCATGCCTGACTGGTTTTCGTATTTTTTTGGTGGAGACGGGGTTTCGCTGTGTTGGCCGGGCTGGTCTCCAGCTCCTAGCCGCGAGTGATCTGCCAGCCTCGGCCTCCCGAGGTGCCGGGATTGCGGACGGAGTCTCGTTCACTGAGTGCTCAATGGTGCCCAGGCTGGAGTGCAGTGGCGTGATCTCGGCTCACTATAACCTCCACCTCCTAGCCGCCTGCCTTGGCCTCCCAAAGTGCCCAGAGTGCAGCCTCTGCCCGGCCGCCACCCCGTCTGGGAGGTGTACCCAGCAGCTCATTGAGAACGGGCCATGATGACGATGGCGGTTTTGTCGAATAGAAAAGGGGGAAATGTGGGGAAAAGAAGGAGAAATCGGATTGTTGCTGTGTCTGTGTAGAAAGAGGTGGACATAGGAGACTCCATTTTGTTCTGTACTGGGAGAAAATCTTCTGCCTTGGGATCCTGTTGATCTGTGACCTTACCCCCAACCCCCGTGCTCTCTGAAACATGTGCTGTGTCCACTCAGGGTAAATGGATTAAGGGCGGTGCAAGATGTGCTTTGTTAAACAGATGCTTGAAGGCAGCGTGCTCGTTAAGAGTCATCACCAATCCCTAATCTCAAGTACCCAGGGACACAAACACTGCGGAAGGCCGCAGGGTCCTCTGCCTAGGAAAACCAGAGACCTTTGTTCACTTGTTTATCTGCTGACCTTCCCTCCACTATTGTCCTATGACCCTGCCAAATCCCCCTCTCCGAGAAACACCCAAGAATGATCAATAAATACTAAAAAAAAAAAGAAAGAAACTGAACACCTAAATAGAACTTACTATGTGCCAGGCTCAGCCCTTATATCAACTTGCTCAGTTCTCACAAATCTGCGAGGTAGGGAAGCTGTTATAACCCCCTGCTCCAGAGGAGGAGAGCGGGGCCCACAGGGGCTGTGTCATTTGCCTAGAGTCACGCAGGAGTGAGTAGCAGAGGCAGCCGCAAACCCAGCTCCGAGTCTTCCTCTGTTCCCTGCACTAGACTCACTCCTCTCACGTCAGAAGTGGAGAAAGGGGCCAGAGGAAAGCTGACGCCATTGGCAAAATCACGTCCAGCCTGAAGGGGCCCGTCGGCTCTAACTAATGCCTCCCATTCACATTGCCCATCTTCCCATCTTTCAAGAAAATCCAGAAATCCAGATTGCTAGGTAAAACCTGGTTTTAAATGGATCCAATTTTGTTTTAACCCTCTGTAGCCCAAACAAAGCACATCAGCAGACTGCACTTAGCCTGGGGCCGGCCACGTGCCACCCTGCTGTTGCAGCTGTCTCTAAGGACTGCGCTGTCCTCTGCCTGTCTAAAGACCCTGGGGAACTCTGGGTCTGGTGGCCAAAGGGGAGTCACCTCAGTGAACAACAGCTCCTTCAGCCCATTGATATGAATAATTAATTTCTGCGTGCTCACTGCCAGCCCACAAAGGTTACCAACAAGCTCGGCATTCAGGAAGCCACTCTGTGCCCTCTGAGACAATGAGGACAGGCGTGGGGGGATCCTAGGGGTGTTCAGGGAGCCCCATAATGAAGCCCAGCATGGTGAGCTGTGCTCAGAGAGCCAGCGGATGCCAGCCCAGCCTGCTGCCTAGGTGGGGCCACAGAGCATCATGGAGGCTCATTAGAGATGGGACATGCGGCGGCTTTCCCTGCTGTCAGCAGGAGTGGGCTCTGGATTCCTCAAGATGCTTTAAAATAAAACGGAAAGGCGCAATTATGCAGCCAAACAGAAGGCGAGGCAGCTGCCTACAAAACGAGGCTTTCTCCGTAATAGGACCCCAACCCCAGAGCACAGTGCGGCCGCCTCACCGTCCCCCCCAAGGCTGCAGCCGTGACGCGTCTGTAATTGGATGCTTCGCTGTTCCAGCTCTTGGATTATTCAAATTACAGGATTTTCAGTTTCAATTAAGGTTATGACCAGGCAACAAGATGAGCAAGATACCATGTTTCACCTTTATAGTCTATTTCAGCAAGAAGCATGGCCAAACTAGTAACAGTGGGGATAATCATAAAATTAACCAACACGTACTGAGTGGTTACCATGTGTCAGGTCTGGTTCAAGGTATGTTATATACATATTGACTTATTTAACCTTCACGCCAACTTACTTGACTATTGATATTATATTATCATCGTCCCCTAGCCTACAAATATAAACACTGAGGTGCAAAAAGGTTGAGGAATTTGCTCAAGGTCACATAGCAGTTAAGTGGCAGAGCCGTGAATCGAACCCAGGCAATGTGGTCCTAGACAGCGTGCTCTTATTTATTTTGTTTTGTTTTTTTGAGACGGAGTCTTGCTCTGTGGCCCAGGCTGGAGTGCAGTGGTGCAATCTCAGTTCACTGCAACCTCCACCTCCCAGGTTCAAGCGATTCTCCTGCCTCAGCCTCCTGAGTAGCTGGGATTACAGGCACGTGCCACCATGCTCAGCTAATTTTTGTATTTTTAGCAGAGACGGGGTTTCACCATGTTGGCCAGGCTGGTCTTGAACTCCTGACCTCAGGTGATCCGCCCGCCTCGGCCTCCCAAAGTGCTGGCATTACAGGAACGTGCTACCACGCCCGACTAATTTTTGTATTTTTAGTGGAGACGGGGTTTCACCATGTTGGCCAGGCTGGCCTCGAACTCCTGACTTCAAGTAATCCGCTACCTCGGACAGCATGCTCTTGATCATCACACCAGTAGCTGTTTTCATTTATACGGAGCTCACCACATGCCGGACCCCATGCTACATTATTTCATTTAACCTTTGCAACACCAAGTGAGGTACAATGATCCCCATTGTATAGAAAAGAAAATAAGCTTATAGACAGGTGAATTAACTTGGTTAAGGACACAAAATAACAAGTGGCTACAGCCTGGATCCAAACCCAGTTTCTCTGATTCAAAGCCAGGCTCTTAACCTTACTTGGTACGTAGTCCCAGCTCATTTAACTTACTGGCGTCCATAAAATTTAGGTCTGTCGGGAAAATTATCTAGTCCAGTCACCTTATTTTAAAGTGAAAAGCTATAGTCTGGAGAGGTTAACAGTTAGTGGTGAGCTGGAGTAGAGAATAACTTTGGCCCCAGAAAGAGCTGTGTTCCAATCCTGGCTCTGTCCTTTGTGAGCTGTGTGACTACAGACCAGTGACTCAATGTCTCTAGACTTGTTAATATAGAATGAGAAGAATGATCCTTAGTCTCATGGGAACATACTGATTAAAGTATGTGTGTAACCTACACTTCTGCTCAACATTCGGCATGCCAAAACCATCTCATTATAGTCAGCTGTCCCCAAATTACAAATGGACGATTTCAAACTTTGGCCGATGAGTCTGTTCTTTATGATTTGAAATAATGCTGTAAGTGATGAGTAGGTCACCAAGATGGGCCCCCAAGTCCAGTGAACAGAGACCTTGGAAAACTGCAGTGTACTTCTAGACTTCTCTGAATTCCTTATACATTCCAAATGTGCAAAATCCCCAAGGAAATCGCGTTTTTCAGAGAGCTGAGCAATCAGATCTTTAGGCCTTCCACCCTCACAAATGAAGTTAATATACTACTAGGTCAATGACATCAGGAACACAATAGGTTTGCATGGTGCTTAATTCTAGTATCCTTTTCTATCTGTTTGTTTGTTTGTTTGTTTGTTTGTAACAGAGTCTCACTCTGTTGTCCAGGCTGGAGTGCAGTGGCGCGATCTCGGCTCACTGCAACCTCTGCCTCCTGGGTTCAGGCAATTATCCTGCCTCAGCCTCTCGAGTAGCTGGGATTACAGGTGCCTGCCACCACGCCTGGATAATTTTTGTTTTTTTTAGTAGAGATGGGGTTTCACCATGTTGACCAGGCAGGTCTCAAACTCCTGAGCTCAAATGGTCCGCCTGCCTTGGCCTCCCAAAGTGCTGGGATTACAGGTGTGAGCCACCACGCCCAGCCATGGCCTCACACACCTGGCTCATGGGTGACAAGGAGGATCCTTCTCACTATGTTAGTGATTTAATAACCTTGCACCTGCAGCAATGAACCATCCTGTAAGGCTGATCATTTTCCTTTGCATAAGCCGTCAAGACTGATGATGTGCATCTGGATTTATTTCATTTTTGCGGTCCTTATTTTTTCTTGCCATGGCTGGTTGTATAGCACGATGTGCCTATGTGACCAGCCTCCCATTAAAATCTCAGACTAATACAAAAGTTAGCCAGGCACAGTGGCCCTCGCCTGTAATCCCAGCTACTCAGGAGGCTGAGGCAGGAGAATTGCTTGAACCCAGGAGGCGGAGGTTACAGTGAGCCGGGATTGCCCCACTGCACTCCAGCCTGGGCGACACAGCGAGACTCCATGCCCCAAAAAAATAAAATAAAATAATTGATTTTTAAAACTGAGGAAAGAATAACCCCACCACTTAGCACTAAGAGATCTTGGGCTTGCTGGTGGACCAGTCAGAGCCTCAGTCTCCCCATCTGCCCAATAGGAGGCTGTTCTAAAAATTCAACGTGACAGCGTAGGTAAAGCACTTGACCTAGTGCTTTGCAGAGAGTAGGTACTGGAGTATCTTTATACTCTAGTTCCTTCCCAGCTCTGTGTCAATAAAAATTTTAAAGTGGCCGGGCGCGGTGGCTCACGCCTGTAATCACAGCACTTTGGGAGGCGGAGGCGGGCGGATCACGAGGTCAGGAGATCGACACCAGCCTGGCCAACATGGTGAAATCCCATCTCTACTCAAAATACAAAAAATTAGCCGGGCGTGGTGGCGGGCGCCTGTGGTCCCAGCTACTCGGGAGGCTGAGACAGGAGAATGGTGTGGATCCCGGAGGCAGAGCTTGCAGTGAACCAAGATCACACCACTGCACTCCAGCCTGGGCGACAGAGCGAGACTCCGTCTAAAAAAAAAAAAAATTTAAAGTAATCATTTTTCTCAGCAGTTGAAAAACGCGACGTGAGGTCCAGGCAGCCTCCCCTCAGACAGTGTTATCTCAGGCCGACTGTAGCGAGCGTCGAATGGGAAGACAGGAACAGGATCGCTGCGGAAAGACTTGCAGATTTACTCTGCAGCTACGCGGTGCAGAAATAACAGGACAGACTCACGTGGTGTAAATACAGCTACACAGAGCGGTGGTGCAAAGTCAGGTGGTCACGGGGATTTCTGCTTATGATTCTAGTATGGTATACAGAGCCCAGTTTCCAAAACAGCCAAATCTGCCCCAACACCTGGACGACGAGTCCCTGTGACTACAACACAGCCCTGATGTTTGGAGGTGACCCACTCCCCACCCTCCTTGCAATGGGTTCCTCAAAACCAGAACAAGCTAAAAACGAACCTTACACAACCAGCATTTTCCAGCACAGTAAACCAAGGCAGGGAATGTATTTTTTTCACTGAACTTCTCATTCGTGACTATTCTAAAATCAACCAGGAACTTATCGAGTGCCGGCCATGAGCCCAGCCCTGTGAAAGATACTGTTGTGGGAGAGAAAAGGGGTCTAAACGACGGTCCCCGCTTTCCAGGAGTCAGCTAACCACTCAGTTTGAGAGCAGCTCTTCACAGTAAACATGTAAAAGGCTACTGCCTTGCACAGGGCCGTGGCTCCGTTGTTATTTGTTTACTGACTCAATAAATTAATAGATGGCATAATAATAAGACAATTGTGCCGTGTGGGGCCCGCTCTAAGAACCGCAAGATGGGTTGGAGTCGTTGGAAAAGGCTGTGCCAGAGGCCACTAGCTGCCTACGCAATATCAATTCTTCTATTTTTCCTTGTAACAGAGCCCCTATTTTACTTGAGGTGGCCATACACCCAGATAAAATACTGCATTTCCCAGCCTCTCTTATACCTCGAGGTGACTAAGGAGATAAAAACAGAAACTGTCAAGAGAGGTTCCCAGGAAAGTGCCTTAAAAGGCAGACAAACAGCCACCACTCACTCTTACGCTCCTCTTCCCATTCTTCTAATTCCTGCCTGAAATGTGAATGTGATGGCTGGATCTCCAGCAGCTATTTCGGACCAGGAGGTGAGCTTGAGGACAGAGAAGCAGAAAGACTGAAAAGCCTCCATTCCTGATGATCATGGAGTCACCATACTCTCGGCCGGACTGCTGGCCGCTGGAATTCTGTTACATGTGAGATAAATAAGCCTCTATCTTGTTTAAGCTACTTTTTTTCAGTTTTGTCATATACAGCAAACCCCTATCGACCAATCCCAGGTTCCACGGAAAATCAGCCCTTAAAGGAGGGGTTGGTTTGGGGGCTGGTTTGGGGAAGTCAAGGCGGGAGGGCTCTTCAAACGCCAGAAAGGGCACGGGAAAAGACGCCGGATGGAATGAGCAATGGCAGAAAGGATCTGCGTAGAAAACAGAATATAAGAAGCCAGATGGTGGCTTTGCAGACGCCAAGAGAGACAGGGCTTGACGGGGAAGCATCAGGGACCCCAGGGGACCTGGAAAGGTTGTCTTCCTCTGAAGATGCAAAACACCTCTGGAGTAGGGACAGCGGTAAGTAAAAAAGGAGAGAAAGGCAAACAAATAAGCTTGGGAAACTTTATTACCTGGAGAGATTCAAATATAAGCAGTAGCCTGGTTTAGCCAACTGAAAATTCCTGGACTTATAACAGCAACAATAAAGACACCATCGAGGAAGAGTAACGATAACAGCACCATGGAGGATCCCATCTTTTTTTCTGAGACGGAGTTTCACCCTGTCACCAAGCTGGAGTGCAGAGTCGTGATCTCGGCTCACTGCAACCTCTGCCTCCCGGGTTCAAGCAATTCTCCTGCCTCAGCCTCCCAAGTAGCTGGGATTACAGGTATGTGCCACTCTGCCCGGATAATTTTTGTATTTTTAGTAGAGACGGGGTTTCACCATGTTGGCCAGGCTGGTCTCGAACTCCTGACCTCAAGTGATCCACCCACCTCGGCCTCCCAAAGTGCTGGGATTACAGGCGTACGTGAGCCACCGCGCCCGGCCTCAAATGGCTTCTTAATATCTCTTCACAATAGGGATGGGAAAAAATTACTCTATCACAGCTGAGGCTGAAAATTCAATCCTTCAAATTAAGTTACTCAGACATCCACTGAACACAAGGAATTCTTCCTAGAGCAACAATCTCATTAGTCACTGATGGGAAGGGCAGAAAACCCATCAGGTTACAGATGAATCAGGTTCAGGTAACATGACTACTTAGTAGGAAATTCATTTCCCATAAAGATTAAAAATAAAAAGTCTCAGGGCCAAGTGTGGTGGCTCATATCTGTAATCTCAGCACTTGTGGAGGCCAAGGAGCGAGGATCACTTGAGCCCGGGAGTTCTAGACGAGCCTGGGGAACATAGTGAGACCCCGTCTCTACAAAAAATTAAAAATTAGCCGGCTCGTGGCATGTGCCTATAGTTCCAGCTACATGGGAGGCTGAGGTGGGAGGATCGCTTGAGCCTAGGAGGTGGAGGCTGCAGTGAGCTGTGTTCATGCCACTGCACTCCAGCTTGGGCAACAGAGTAAGACCCTGTCTTAAAATAAAATAGGCCAGGGACAGTGGCTTACACCTGTAATCCCAGCACTTTGGGAGTCCGAGTCAGGCAGATCACCTGAGGTCACGAGTTCAAGACCAGCCTGGACAACATGGCGAAACCCCGTCTCTACTAAAAATACAAAAAGTAACCGGGTGTGGTGGCGGGCACCTGTAATCCCAGCTACTCGGGGGGCTGAGGCTGGAGAATTGCTTGAACTCAGGAGGCGGAGGTTGCAGTGAGCCGAGATCTTGCCATTACACACCAGCCGGGGTGACAAGAGCCATACTCCATCTCAAAAAAATAAATAATATAAAAATTAGCCGGGCTTGGTGGCGGGCACCAGTAATCTCAGCTACTCAGAAGACTCCATCTCAAACAAACAAAAAATCAGTAACAACACACACACACACACACACACAGAGACACGAATACCCTCCATCGTCACTCTACGCCAGGTGTTCTGCTACACTCTTTAATTATTCTCTTGCATTTAATCTTCGTAACTATCCTGAGAGGGAAGTACTAATATTTGAGGCGGTACAGCTTGGTGTGCGAAAGCATGGACCTGGAAGCCAGACTGCCTGGCTTCAAATCCTAAGGGCTACTTATAAGCTGGGTGACCATGGGCAATGTTATTGAAGTTCTCCAGGCCTCGTGATTCTCATGGAAAATGGAAATAATAACAGCACCTGTATTTGTCCGTGTTCACACTGCTGTAAAGAACTACCCGAGACTGGGTAATTTATAAAGGAAAGAGGTTTAATTGACTCACAGTTCCCCAAGGCTGGGGAGGCCTCAGGAAACTTACAATCACCGCGGAAGGCAAAGGAAAAGCAACCACCTTCTTCACAAGGCGGCAGGAGAGCAAGCAAGCCTGCGGGGGAAACTTCCAAACGCTTTAAAACCACCAGATCTCATGAGAACTCCCCTCGTGATCAGGACAACAGCCCGGGGGAAACCGCCCCATGATCCAGTCGCCTCCCACCAGGTCCCTCCCTCGACACGTGGGGATGACAATTCGAGATGAGATTTGGGTGGGGATACAGAGCCAAACCCTATCAGTGCCTGTCTCCCGAAGGTGCTCTGTGGAATCCATGAATTAAAGCATACGAAGTGCTCAGAACAGGAGCTGGCAAAAGTAAGCCCTTAGGGTTAGCGACGTTTATTATTCCCATCTGTCAGAGACGGAGGCTTGGAAGGGTCAGTGGCTGGCCGGTGGTCTCACACCTGGGGAGAGGCAGGCCTGACTTCACAGCACGCACCACCCAACACAGCTGATCCTGGCTCTGCCCGTCCCCTCACTCCTCACCACACCAACACGGCCTGGTCTTTGTCTTTCCTGGTACCAAGCAAGGCTACAAGGTACTAGAAGGAAGATACTAAGCGAATTGGCAGACTAACTTATTTACACTCTGATGTTGCTATCGTGCGCGGACAAAAAAGCCGAAATGTGTTTTGGCTTAGGAATCTGCCCCTCATCTAAAAGGAAATGGAGGCCCTTTTCACCTCTGCTTCTGGGCCTCTGTAGGTGAGGCCTCACGTGTTCTCTCTCTGAAACCCTGAGACTAAGGCAAAGCCTGGATTGCCCAATAAAACCTGACCTTAAGGACCTCTGAATGCAGATAATGAGTGTGATTGCTGGTGGAGGCCAATCCAGCAAAAAGAGACTCATGAGCCAAGATGACCTCTGCCTTGAGTCCTGCCCTGCTGCCTGAAAGGTTCTAGAAAGAGTCAGAGCCTTGCTGGGAGGGGGAAACACGTATCTTATTCATTCATATTTTTTAGAGACAGGGACTCGCTCTGTCACCCAGGCTGGAGTGCAGTGGCACAATCATAGCTCACTGAAGCCTCGACCTCCTGGGTTCAAGTGATCCTCCCACTTCAGCCTCCTGAGTAGCTGGGACTATAGGTTCACACCACCACAACTGACTGATTCTTTTTTTCTTAGAAATGGGGTCTCACCGGGTGCGGTGGCTCACGCCTGTAATCCCAGCACTTTGGGAGGCTGAGATGGGCGGATCACAAAGTCAGGAGATCGAGATCATCCTGGCTAACACGGTGAAACCCTGTCTCTACTAAAAATACAAAAAATTAGACAGGCGTGGTGGCGGGCACCTGTAGTCCCAGCTACTCAGGAGGCTGAGGCAGGAGAATGGTGTGAACCCAGGAGGCAGAGCTTGCAGGGAGCCCAGATGGCACCACTGCACTCCAGCCTGGGCAACACCGTGAGACTCCATCTCAAAAAAAAAAAAAAAGAAAAGAAAAGAAAGAAAGAAATGGGGTCTCACTGTATCGCCCAGGCTGGTCTCAAATTCCCAGCCTCAAGCAGTCCTCCCACCTCAGCCTCCCAAAGTGCTAGAATTACAGGTGTGAGCCATTGTACCAGCCACATGCACCACGGAAAACCAAACCATCTGCGATCCAGAATGACTGGGGAGTGGGAAGCTCTGAGGAAGCAACTCAGCTGGGCACAGTGGCTCAGGCCTGTAATCCTAGCACTTTGGGAGGCCGAGACAGGCGGATCACCTGAGGTCAGGAGTTCAAGACCAGCCCGGCCAATATGGTGAAACCCCATCTCATCTAAAATACAAAAATTAGCCAGGCGTAGTGGCACACTCTTGTCATCCCAGCTACTCAGGAGGCTGAGGCAGGAGAATCACTTGAACCCAGGAGGCAGGGGTTGCAGTGACCCGAGATGACGCCACTGCACTCCAGTCTAGGTGACAGAGCGGGACTCTGTCTCGACAAAAAAGAAAAAGAAAGAAGAAGCAACTCAAAGAAAAATGACCTGTAGTAGTGGTTAATTAACACTTATGGGTGCTTCCTACGTGCCAGGACCCGTCCAAAACGCTTTAGAAATATGACCCATTTATTTCTCATATCAACAGCAGGAGAGAAGAGGTGCTTATTAGCCTCAGTTTACAGATGAGGGGACTCAGGCTCAGAAAAGTCAAATAACTTCTCCCAATGTCACACAGGCAGTCTAGCTTCAGAAACATGGTTTAATTCCGTGTTTTCAAACCTTTTTGTTCATCTCACAGCAAGAAATACATTCTACATCAGCTCCCAGTGTACACATACGCGTCCGCATAGAACCGAAACGGAGTCCAAAAACAGAATAATACTCGCCGTGTCCAATGCACTCATCTTGAGAGAGAAAAACCCCTGCCTGCCTGGAGCTTGCGTTTGACTGGAGGGAGACAGTGAATAAGACCCACATGCAAAATTGCAGCATCCACGGTGGTAATTTGGGGAATGCTGTAGAGAAAAATGAAGCAACAAAGGACAAGGGTGGCCAAGGAAGACCGCCCGGGTGCTTCTGTTGCCAACTGCACTAATTTCAATGAGCTGTTTCCCACAGTGCGAAAACGCCTTCCCTTAATCGCTCCACTCTAATGCCTCCCTGTATGCTTGAGGGCTCTTTCTCCTAGATTGTGTGTGCACACATGTATGTGGCAGTGTGCACATGTATGTACATGTGCAGGTGTCTGTGTATGCATGTATGTGGCAGTGTGCCATGTATATACGTGTGCAGGTGTGTATGTGTGTGCATGCATGTATGTGGCACTGTGCCATGTGTATACGTGTAGGTGTGCATGTGTGTGCATGCATGTATGTGACAGTGTGCCATGTACATACGTGTGCAGGTGTGCAGGTATGTGTGTGCATGCATTTATGTGGCACTGTGCACATGTACATATGCAGGTGTGTGTGCATGTATGTACATGTGAAGGTGTGAATGTGTGCATGTATGTATGTGACAGTATGCCATGTGTTTACATGTGCAGGTGTGTGTGTGTGCATGCATGTATGTGGCAGTGTGTCACGTATATACATGTGCTGCTGTGCGTGTGTGTGCATGCATGTGACAGTGTACCATGTGTATACGTGTGCAGGTGTGTGTGTATATGTGTGCATGCATGTATGTGGCAGTGTACCATGTATATACATGTGCTGCTATGCATTTATGTGTGCATGCATGTAACCAAGTGCAAGTCCACCCCCCACTCACTTCCTCACGAGGAGGCTTTGGAGACAGAGGCAGAACCCGAACATGTAGCTGTGCAGTGTGCCACAGGAGCTTGCCCTGCAGAGGGGGCTGGAATGGCACCTGAAATCTAGCCCAGGCATCACTAGCCAAAGCCGTGAGTGCCAGACACGTGCCCCAGCTCACGTCTGTAGTCCTGAGGAAGGTGACTCTTGTTATCATTGGTCCACCCAGAGGGGAGCATCTTTTGCAATTCCCAGGGGCAGCGCCGATTTCTAACGTGCATCAAGGTGCCCTATGTGCTAGAGTGTCCTAAGGGAGACAGGCGACGACTCACAGAAATAAAAATCACTCCCTGGGAAAAGCCTAGTGTACTGGGCACCCCGGGGAGGGTGACAGATGTGGGTCTGGGGGGAGACAGGATTGCAGCCAGCTCTGAAGCAGCTGGGGCCAGTTGGGTAGCCTCCACCAAGGGCATTTGGAACTTGGCACTAGGGTGAAATCTTCAGGCTCTTCCCTTAAGTTAAAGAGACATATAAAAATGTTACCAGCATGGGCGGCAAGAGCATTGCCTGTGGGAAACACAGCCAATCTTTGCTAAGGAATAAGTGTAATTGATCAAAACAGATGACTTGATGGACCTTCCAACTGTGCTTTTAGCAAAGTGGACAGTTTTTCATTCAAATGCAAACTCATCCAGATAAAATCTAATAATGGAGATTTTGGAACAATCCCAGCATCAATGATTTTTTTTCCTCCTTCACTGAGCAGGAAGGCATCTTAAATTCCTGGTTGCAGCTTGACCCAACCGGACACCACCAGTGTGCTGCTTTCCGCGTGGCTGAGGAGACCGTGACAGTTCACAGACACAGCAAAGGGCTCCCACGCCACCCCCATCCCCACCTGACCTCTCCTCCTTAGCCCCATTCCCACTCCCTGACCTAGAAAGAGCTCGGTGGACGCTCAATTCCAGGCAATCATTTATTCAGCCATTATGCGTTGAGCTTTGACTGCTGCAAAGCACCGTGCATACTACCAGAAGGGGGTTCAAAGATGACTAAGATCAGGCCCTGTCCTCAGAAAAGAGAGCAGATGCGAGGGGAGAGAGATGACAGGAGACCCGGTGAAGGTCTCAGCTCACCCCAACGAGCACTTAATCTTTCTGAGCTTCGGTTTCCTCTTTTATCCAGTGAAGACGCTGGACTAGACATGGTCTCTGGGCACCAGGCCAGCCGGAAAACGAGATGGGCCTAAGCCTCCCCTTGCCCTCTTGCTCCCAGACTCCTAGAAAGCCAAGAGGCCGGGCGCCGCCTTCTAAGAAGAAAACGAGTCCGCAGAGGGGGCTGGTGAGGGCCGTGGCCCTTCCCTGAAGTTTGCACGTGGCCCCAACACACAGAGCAGCCTGGAGAAGAGGAGACTAAGTTCAGAAAATGGAGTGGAAGGTTCGGCCTTCCGCGGTTAGGAAAGCGGAGCTCAGAAGGATCGGGGATTTCCGGGAGATGGGAAGCCCCTGGGGTGTGTGCAGAGAGGGGTGACAGACAGAAGGGTGACAGCACCCGGTGGCGCCAAGGGATCTGGCGGGGGCCAGGCCGGAGGGAGGGGCTGGGGGATGTCAGGGCCACGGAGCGCAAAGCGCAAAGGCCCGGGCGCCGGCCCTGCCGCCGCCGCCAGTTCATTTTCATAGAGTCGCCCGAGCTTAACGTCGCCTTGCACGTGTTTTCTAAGCTCCACAGGTGGCTTTGGGGTACACGGGCGCAGCTCACCCTCCTTCCCGCCCGCTCCCCGGCCCCGAGCTCGAGGTTAAACAGGGCCGCGGAGTCGGCCGGGAAGGGGTCCCGGCAGCCCGGGGTGGGGGGCGCGCGGCGGGGTCGAGCGGGGTCTGGGGGGGGCGCCCACCTGCGGAGAAGTCGTCCTCGCGGTCGGAGCTGTGCCGGCTGCCGTCGCTGTCTCTCTCCGGCGAGCTGTGGCCGGGCGAGTCCCGCTCGGGCACCCGCAGGAACCTGCGGCGCCGCCACGGGGGCAGGTGCTCGCGCCCGGGGGTCTCCTCCGCGGCGAGGGGCGAGCCCGGGCGGCCCTTGGCCTCGGCCTCCCGCTGCTCCAGGTCGCGGGTCCCCCGCTGCGGCCGCCGCCCCCCGGGGATCAGGTGCATCCAGCGGCGGGGGCTGCGCGCCCGCTCGCGGGTCCCGAACCGGCAAGGGGCCACCAGCCAGTGGCTGAGGATGAACTTCTCGTTGAAATCCACCATCTCGAAGTCGTGGTCGCCGCCGTCGCCCCCCTCGTCCGTGCCGGGAGCCGCCTGGGGGTCCCCGAGGGGCGCGTCGTCCTCCCGGGCCCGGAACCGCAGCTGGGGCTGCAGGAGCTGCCGGTGGACGGCGTCGGCCCAGCTCCTTCCCCCGCCGGCTTCTCCGGCCGCCCCGGGCCCGGCGGGCAGGTCCCCGCGGGGAGACTCGGCCTCGGGGTCGGGGCGCCCGGGGTCCCCGCGGGGAGACTCGGCCTCGGGGTCGGGGCGCCCGGGCTCCCCGGAGTCTCCGCCGCCGCCCCGGGCCAGCGCGGCCTGCGGGAGCGAGGCTTTGAGCTGCTCCTCCGCCAGCACCTGTTGCAGCCGCTCCAGGTTGAGTCTGCGGCGCTCCAGCTCCCGCTCCGCGTCCCGCACCGACTCCAGCCTCGGGACCGGCGCCTCCGCCCCGGGGAACTCGGCCCGCCAGCGCCGCTCGAACGCGCGGGGGTCCCACATGCCCCGAGCTCCGTCCGCGCCGACCCTTCCCCGCGGCCCCCGAAGAGACCAGAGGGAAAGTCAAGTGTCCCCTTCCGCCCTCGCGCCTCCTCCCCGTCTTCTTCCTCTTTTCTTCCCCTCCTGGGTTTCGCCTCCCTGACGTCGGCGGCTCCTCGCGGCGGGGGCGGGCGCCCCGGGGATGAGAACCCGCCCCGGGCATCCCACAGCCAGCTCGGGCCGCGGAGCCGCCGGGGGAGGGCGGGAGCTGCGGGGCCTGGACTCGAGCCTTCGCCGCCCGCCCCGATCCCGGCCCCGGACCCCGCCCGCCCCGCTCCCCTGTCGGCCCCGCTCCCTGCACCCGAGCGCGGGGCCCCGGACACCCTCCTGCCGGGCCGGGGGAAGACGTGGGGGCTGAGGGCGGCGTGGCTGGTGCCACTGCGGACCCGCGGGGTCGCCCTGCGCCGGGATTGATGGATTGATTGATTGATGATTGATTGATTGATTGACTGATTGATTGATTTTCCTTTTTTGAGGCCAGGTCTCGCTCTGTCGCCCAGGCTGGGGCACAGTGGCGCGATCGTGCCTTAAACTCACGTGACGAAGATCACGGAGCAGTTTAGTCCAAATCCGGGGGTAACGCTTCGGGGTTCTGTCGGCCCCTGTAAGCTTCTCTCCTCTTCTCACTGAAGCTCTTCCGGGAAAAACACCCAAGGATGACTGAGCCAAGCGGCTCTAGCTGGAGGCGCCCGGGACCTCAAAGCTGGACTCCCCGGGGACTGAGTCCAACCGTGGCTGCAGGGGCCGCGGCCTGGCGGAGGGTCCGCGTGGGTGTCTACGAGGATCCCCCCCGTTCCATCTCCTCTTTGCGGCCTCAGACACTTCCCCTGGGGAGGACGAGAAATGGGAGCTGGGCCGGGCGCGGTGGCCCACGCCTGTAATCCCAGCACTTTGGGAGGCCGAGGTGGGCGGGTCACCTGAGGTCCGGAGTTCGAGACCAGCCTGACCAACATGGAGAAACCGCGTCTGTACTAAAAATACAAAATTAGCCGGGCGTGGTGGCACATGGCTGTAATCCCAGCTACTCGGGAGGCTGAGGCAGGAGAATCGCTTGAACCCGGGAGGCGGAGGTTGCGGTGAGCCGAGATTGCGCCATTGCACTCCAGCCTAGACAACAAGAGCGAAACTCCATCTCAAAAAAAAAGAAAGAAAGAAACGGGAGCTGGAGAGGGGGCCTGGAGACGGGGGTCCCACGTGGCCCTGCCCTCCGCACCTGGCTGAGCAAGGCTTTCCAGTTCTTTTCCAGGGTTGTGGATGAGGCTCCACTGCCTGCGAAGAGAGGCCCTGATAAACCATCTCGTGCTTTCTTAAAGAGGGGACACCTTATCAATGATTCACGTTTCCTTCATTTTAAGCATGAAGAAATTGATCTAAGAGGCCGGGCGCGGTGGCTCACGCCTGTAATCCCAGCACTTTGGGAGGCCGAGGTGGGCGGATCACCTGAGGTCAGGAGTTCGAGACCAGCCTGGCCAACATGGGGAAACCGTGTCTCTACAAAAATACAAAAATTAGCCGGGCGTGGTGGCAGACGCCTGTAATCCCAGCTACTCGGGAGGCTGAGGCAACAGAATTGCTTGAACCTGGGAGGCGGAGGTTGCAGCGAGCCAAGATCACACCACTGCACTCCAGCCTGGGCGACAAGAGTGAGACTCCATCTCAAAAAATAAAAATAAAAAAAAGAAAGAAAACAAAGAAATTGATCTAAGAGGCTGACTTGGCAGCTGGAAATTCTTCCTCCCCACAGCACCTTTTGGGGACTAGAGCTAAACTCAGCCACCTTCTCCATAGCCCCTGCCACCCACCCGGCTCTCACCTGAACCATGGGCACAGGCCGTCCTGGTCCCACTTTTCCAGCCCCTTAATTCATTCCTCAAGGCTACAAGGAAGCAAGGAAGATGTTTCTTAACCACAAATGTGCCATGTGTTTGCGCCCTTTCTTGGCTCCCGTCGCGTACAGGGTGGAGTCCAGACTCCTTGGCCTGACGCAGGAAGTCCTCCCACATCTGGTCTCTGCCCACGTCGCTGCCTTCTTCCTATAATTTAGCCTTGCCAGCTCAAAGCTGGCCCCAAAGACCTCACACCCTTTTCCTTTTCCTTGGAACTTCTCATCTCTCCCTACACGCTTGCAAAAGTCCCCGCTGCCTGGGGACCTCCCCCTCTGATGAACCTTTTCAGCCCCTCCTCGCCCTTGTTTGTATCAGCATTGGATCTCATGCCTGCCTTTTATCTTTGTTTGCCCTTGTTCCACCTTTTTTTGTTTCTTTTCCTGTAGAGAGGCAACGGCTTCTCCATCTCATCTCACTCCCTGAAACGGCAGGGGGCCATGAGCAAATGGAACAAATTTCAAATCCACCATCTCGGCCAGTTGCGGTGGCTCACACCTGTAATCCCAGCACTTTGGGAGGCCGAGGCAGGTGGATGACCTAAGCTCAGGATTTCAAGACCAGCCTGGCCAACATGATGAAATCCCGTCTCTACTAAAAACACAAAAATTAATCGGGTGTGGTGGCGGGTGCCTGTAATCTCAGCTACTCCCAAGGGAGGCTGAGGCAGGAGAATGGCTTGAACCCAAGAGGTGGAGGCTGCAGTGAGCAAAGATCACGCCATTGCGCTCCAGCCTGGGTGACAGAGCGAGACTCTGTCTCAAAAAAAAAAAAAAAATCCCCCAAAAAGACAAAAAAATCCACTATCTCAAAGTCGTGCTCACTGCTGTTGCCCCCATCATCTCATGTTGCCCAGGCTCCTCTTGAACTCCTGGGCTCAAGCAGTCCACCCTCTCTGCCTCCCCAAGTGCTGGGATTACCAGCATGAGCCACTGGGGATTCCACCTGTAGGGTAGCGGTGCAATTACTGCTCACTGCAGCCTGGACCCCCTGGGCGGAAGCCATCCTCCCTCCTCAGCCTGCGGAGTAGCTGGGACTACAGGCATGTGGCATCATGCCTGGCTAATTTTTGTATTTTTCGCAGAGATGGGGGTCTCACTGTTGCCCAGGATGCTCTGGAACTCCTGGGCTCAAGCAATCGGCCTGCCCTGGCCTCCCACTGTGCTGGGATTACGGGCGTGAGGCACTGCATTGGACTCCACTTTATTGTAGTTACCAGTGAGACCTTCTGTTTCCCCTACTCTAAGAACCCCTCAAGTGCAGAGATTGTGTCTTTTTTCATTTTTGTATTCCGACACCTTCTCGCAGAGTGTGGTATAGAGATGACTGATAATTGTTGAAGGAAAGAAATGAACGAACGAACAAACAGACAGATGCATGAACCCCCTCCTTGCCTCCTGCTGGGCTCTCCTGTCCTGAATCACTCCGGACTGGGGCACATTTGCTTCCCACACGTCAACTCCAAGAAAGAATTTCCTTTCTTGCCAAAGTCTGTGTTTACTCATTTTACTAATATCCCTCTTCCTTCTTTGTTTATTCTTTTCCTTTTTTTTTTTTTTTTTGAGACAGAATCTCACTCTGTCGTCCAGGCTGGAGTGCAGTGACGCGATCTCGGCTCACTGCAAGCTCCGCCTCCCAGGTTCACGCCATTCTCCTGTCTCAGCCTCCCAAGTAGCTGGGACTACAGGCGCCCACCACCACGCCCGGCTAAATTTTTTGTATGTTTAGTAGAGACGGGGTTTCACCGTGTTAGCCAGGATGGTCTCGATCTCCTGACCTCGTGATCCGCCCGCCTCGGCCTCCCAAAGTGCTGGGATGACAGGCGTGACCCACCGCGCCCGGCCTCTTTCTTTCTTTCTAACTCGGTGTGCCACTGGCATGAATCATCCCAGTGTTTGTCTTCACGCCAGACTGCTATGGAGAAATGGATATGTTTTTTGTTATTATTATTCTATTTTTTTTTTTTTGAGATAGAGTCTCACTCTGTCACCCAGGCTGGAGTGCAATCCCCATTCACTGCAACCTCCGCCTCCCAGGTTCAAGTGACTCTCCTGCCTCAGCCTCCCGAGTGGCTAGGATTGCAGGCACGTGACACCACACCCAGCTAATTTTTATATTTTTAGTAGAGACGGGGTTTCAACATACTGGCCAGGCTGGTCTGGAATCCCTGACCTCAGGTGATCTGCCCGCCTCGGCCTCCCAGAGTGCTGGGATTACAGGCGTGAGCCACCGTGCTCCACCCACGTGTTTTAAATACACTACTTTGGCCGGGTGCGGTGGCTCATGCCTGTAATCCCAGCACTTTGGAAGGCCGAGGCGGGCAGATCACCTGAGGTCAGGGATTCCAGACCAGCCTGGCCAGTATGTTGAAACCCCGTCTCTACTAAAAATACCAAAAATTAGCCAGGCGTAGTGGCAGACGCCTGTAATCCCAGCTACTCAGGAGGTTGAGACAGGAGAACTGCTTGAACCCAGGAGGCGGAGGTTGCAGTGAGCCGAGATTGTGCCACTGCACTCCGGCCTGGGCAACAAGAGCGAAACTCCGTCTCAAAAATAAATAAATAAATAATAAAAATAAAATGCACTAACTTCCTATTCCCCAGTTTGAGTGATTTCTCGATCTTTCACCTAGCTCCTCAACCTGCTTTCTCTCCCACCTTCACTGCACATCCCAGGGGCCATCACAATCTCCTTTGTCCACTGAGAAGGACTGAGAAGCTTCCAATGCCTATCGCCAGCCCACGCCAGGGAGAGTCCATCAAAGGGAGTCCACGACATCTTGGCCTCTGTATACAGATTTCAGAATGGGAGAGGAAGAGCAGTCCAGAAGTGAGGGATGACCCCAGGCAACAGCATATTGGTTGGAAACTGTTTCAATATGTATATTTAAATGCACCAAGAAAAAGAAAACTACAGGTTACTAATACGCATCCATTTCTGAAAGTGCAAGTTCCCTGGGAGGATAGTTTCAAATCTGTCCTTTAATTAAAGCCGTGGTATGATTCTCTTTTGGCCCAAGGAAATTGTTACCAATACCACTAATTTTTTCCACAAGGACCAGTAGAGCTGGAAATGGCAGCACACATCATCTTCTATAAACAGATCCCAGGAGCAGCCTGCATTGTCCCCAGCTGGTGGATAGCTCAAGCTTTATGACTTGGCTCTGGGTCCTCATGGGGACAGGGGTAGGCTGCTGACATTTATTGAGTCCACACCTCTAGCTGCCATACATTTTTTATCTCTTCTAATTCCTCACAGCAACCCTGTGAAGAAGGTATTATTGTCGCCGCTTCAGACAGACAGAAATGGAAGGTCAAAGAGGTTAGAAGCCACACAGCTAGTCTGCTGAATTTTTTTTTTTTTTTTTTTTTTGTTGTTGTTGTTGAGAGACAGGGTAGGCGGGGCACAGTGGCTCATGCCTGTAATCCCAGCACTTTGGGAGGCCGAGGCAAGTGGATCACCTGAGGTCACAAGTTCGAGACCAGCCTGGCCAACATGGTGAAACCCCGTCTCTACTAAAAATACAAAAATTAGCCGGGTGTGGTGGCGGGTGCCTGTAATCCCAGCTACTTGGGTAAGGTGGGAGGCTGAGGTAGGAGGAGCACTTGAACCCGGGAGGCGGAGGTTGCAGTGAGCAGAGATCGTGCCACCATACTCCAGCCTGGGCGACAGAGTGAGACTCCATCTTGAAAAAAAAAAGAAAAGAAAAAGAGACAGAGTCTCACTCTGTCACCCAGGCTGGAGTGCAGTGATGCTATCATAGCTCACTGCAGCCTCAGCCTCCGGTACTCAAGCCATCCTTCCACCTCAGCCTCCCAAGTGCACGCCACCACACCCAGCTTTTTTTTTTTTTTTTTTTTTTTTTTGTAGAGACAGGGTCTCCTTATGTTCCCCAGCCTGGTCCAGAAATCCTGGGCTCAAGCGATCTTCCTGCCTCAGCCTCCCAAAGTGTTGGGATTACAGGTGTGAGCCACCACGTTCAGCCTGCTAGATTCTGTAGTCCTGCAGCTTTGTAAGAACTTGGTCCAGGTGCATCTGTCACTGGCATTTCTTTAATCAATAAATATTTGTTGAGCACCCACTAGGTCCCAGGGCCTGGCAAATTAAGTTTAAACTTCGTTTTTGGTTTATTTTTTTGAGACAAGGTCTTGCTCTGTCTCCCAGGCTGGAGTGCAGTGGCCGCAATCTCAGCTCACTGTAACCTCCGCCTCCCAGGTTCAGGCGATTCTCCTGCCTCAGCCTCCTGAGTGGCTGGGATTACAGGCATGCACCACCACGGCCAGCTAATTTTTGTATTTTTAGTAGAGACAGGGTTTCACCGTGTTGGTCAGGCTGGTCTCGAACTCCTGACCTTGTGATCCACCCACCTCGGCCTCCCAAAGTGCTGGGATTACAGGTGTGAGCCACCGCACCCCACCAGGCACCCAGTTTTCTAGAATTTTTGTCACTACAGTCTTGCCTTTTCTAGAATTTTTTTTTTTTTTTTTTTTTTTTTTTAGACAGGCTCTCACTCCATCTCCCAGGCCGGAGTGCTGTGGTGCGACCACACGTCATTGCAGCCTCGACCTCCCAGGCTCAAGCAGTCCTCCCTCCTCAGCCTCCCAAGTAGCTGGGAGCACAAGCCACCACATGTGGTGATTTTTATTTATTTTTTTTTTGTAGAGATGAGGTCTCACTATGTTGCCTAGGCTGGTCTCAAACTCCTGGGCTCAAGCCCGTCCTCCCACCTCGGCCTCCCAAAGTGCTGGGATTACAGGTGTGAGCCACCGCATCCGGCCCCTTCCTAGAATCTTGTATGAAAGAATGTAGTCTTGGTGTTGGACTGTTGAAACAACACAGTGTTTCTGAGTTCAACCTGCACTGTTGTTTACATCTCCTTCCTTCCCTTCCCATACCCCAGGGTCGGAAATAGGCATTTTAACACACTAGGTGGAAACAGGCATTCAACCTTCATTCTAACGCTGTGACAAAAGTGTTATTATCATTATTTTGCAGATAAACAAGTGTGGTTTGATGAGATTAAGACAGTCATTCAGGGCCAGGCTTAGTGTCTGACGCCTGTAATCCCAGCACTTTGGGAGGCCGAGGGGGCAGATCACCTGAGATCAGCAGTGAGACCAGCCTGGCCAACATGCTGAAACCCCATCCTCACTAAAAACAAAAAAAAAATACAAAACACAAAACTCAAAAATCAGCTGGGCGGGGTGGCGGGTGCCTGTAATCCCATCTACTCAGGAGGCTGAGGCAGGAGAATTGATTGAACTCGGGAGGCCGTTGCAGTGAACCAAGATCACACCATTGCACTGCAGCCTGGGCAACAAGAGCAAAACTCCGTCTCAACAAACATAAAAGATAGTCATTCAAGTTTGTGTAATTCATTCCTTTTTATTGTGGAAGAATATTCCATTGTATGAATATACCCCTATTTGTTTATTCTCCAGTTGATAGACATTGGAGTTGTCTCTGTGTGGACAAGTGTTTTCATTTCTATTCCCCACAAAAAATACAGAAATGGGATTGCTGGGTCATAAGGAAACTGTATGTTTAACTTTTCTTTTTTCTTTTTTTTTTTTTTTTTAATTTTGAAACGAAGTCTCGCTGTTTCGCCCAGGCTGGACTGCAGTGGCGCTATCTTGGCTCATTCTGCCTCCCGGGTTCACGCCATTCTCCCGCCTCAGTCTCCCGAGTAGCTGGGACTACAGGCGCCCACCACCGTGACCGGCTAATTTTTTGTATTTTTTTAGTAGAGACAGGGTTTCACTGTGTTAGCCAGGACGGTCTCGACCTCCTGACCTCATGATCCGCCTGCCTTGGCCTCCCAAAGTGCTGAGATTACAGGTGTGAGCCACCGCGCCCGGCCAAAACTGTATGTTTAACTTTTAAAGATATTACCATACAATGTTTTCCAAAGTGTCTGTACTATTTTCCTTTTTTTTTTTTTTTAATTTTTTGTATTTTTAATAGAGACGGGGTTTCGCCATGTTGGCCAGGCTGGTCTGGAACCCCTGACCTCAGGTGATTCGCCTGCCTCGGCCTCCCAAAGTGTTGGGATTACAGGCGTAAGCCACCACGCCCAGCCTGTTTTCCATTATTAACAGCAATGTGTGTGCATCTCATTGTTCTATGTGCATGTCAACACTTAGTGTTGTAAGTTTTTTTTGCTTTAGCCACTTTAGTGGGTATATAATACTATCTTGTTGTGGTTTAATTTGATTATTAATGATGTATAACATCTTTTCATGTACTTATTGACCATTTGCATATTTTCTTTTATGAAGTGTTTGTTTACATCTTTTGTCCATTTTTTATTGGATATCCTTTTAGAGTTGACTTGTAATAGTCCTTTTTTTATTTTTATATTTTTTGAGACAAGGTCTTGAGGTCTGTTGCCCAGGCTGGTCTGGAACTCCTGGGCTCAAGTAATCTTCCCACCTCAGCCTCCCAAGTAGCTGGGACTACATGCCTGGCTATGGTTTTTTTTCTTTTTTGTAGAGACAGGTTCTCCCTATGTTTCCCAGGCTGGACTTGAACTGCTGGGCTTAAGTGATCCTCCCTCCTTGGCCTCCCAAAGTGTTGGGATTACAGACATGAGCCAGTATGCTCTAGCTCTTTTTTTTTTTTTTTTGAGACAAGGTCTTGCTCTGTCACCTAGGCTGGAGTGCAGTGGTACCATCTCAGCTTGCTGCAACATCCACCTCTGAGACTCAAGCGATCCTTCCACCTCGGCCTCTTGAGTAGCTAGGATTACAGGTACGTACCACCACGCTCAGCTAATTTCTGTATTTTTTGTAGAGACCAGGTTTCACCATGTTGTTAGGCTGGTCTCAAACTGCTAGACTCAAGTGATCCACCTGCCTCAGCCTCCCAAAGTGCTAGGATTACAGGCCTAAGCCATTGCACCTGTCCTGTTTAGTTCTTTTCTTTTTTTTTTTTTAGATGGAGTCTCGCTCTGTTGCCCAGGCTGGAGTAAAGTGGCACAATCTCGGCTCACTGCAAGCTCCGCCTCCCGGGTTCACGCCATTCTCCTGCCTCAGCCTCCCTAGTAGCTGGGACTACAGGCGCCCGTCACCATGCCTGGCTAATTTTTTTGTATTTTTTCAGTAGAGACGGGGTTTCACCATGTTAACAAGGTTGGTCTCGATCTCCTGACCTTGTGAGCCACCCACTTCAGCCTCCCAAAGTGCTGGGATTACAGGCGTGAGCCACCACGCCCAGCCATGGCCTGTCTAGTTCTTTATATTATTTATTCATGCTCTTTGTCAGATATATAAATATAGATAGATAGATGATAGATAGATGATAGATAGATAGATAGATAGATAGATAGATAGATAGACAGACAGAGAGATAGAGAGATAGATTTTTTTTTTTTGAGACAGAGTCTACCTCTGTCGCCCAGGCTGGAGTGCAGTGGCGCCATCCTGGCTCACCGCAACCTCTGCCTCCCGGGTTCAAGCGATTCTCCTGCCTCACTCAGCCTCCTGAGTAGCTGGGATTACAGGTGTGTGCTACCACACCCGGCTAATTTTTGTATTTTTGGTAGAGATGGGGTTTCACCCTGTTGGCCAGGCTGGTCTGGAACTCCTGACCTCATGTGATCCGTCCACCTCGACCTCCCAAAGTGCTGGGATTACAGGTGTGAGCCACTGTGCCTGGCCGTGTCCAAGTTTTTGTATGGACATGTTTTCCATTTTCTCTGTTTCTGCTTAGGAGCGAAATTGCTGGCTCATATGGTCACTCTGAATTTCGCTTATCAGAGAACAGTCCGACCGTTTCCAAAGCATCTACGTCATTTTACCTTCCCGGCGTATACGGGCTCCAACTGCTCCACATTCTTTCCCACACTAGTGTGCATTTTTTGTATCATAGCCACCCTAGTGCGTGTGATGTGGTATCTCATTGTGGTTTCTCTGGTTGTTGTTTCCTTCGGGGTTTTTTTTTCTTTTTGAGATGGAGTGTTGCTCTGTCACCCAGGCTGGAGTGCAGTGCCTCAATCTCAGCTCACTGCAAACTCCACCTCCTGGGTTCAAGCGATTCTCCTGCCTCAGCCTCCTGAGTAGCTGGCATTACAGGTGACTGCCACCACGCCTGGCTAACTTTTGTATTTTTAGTGGAGACAGGGTTTCACCATGTTGGTCAGGCTGGTCTCAAACTCCTGACCTCGTGATCCGCCTGCCCTCAGCCTCCCAAAGTGCTGGAATGACAGGCGTGAGCCACCGCGCCCGGCCTTGTTTTGTTTTTGAGATAGGGTCTTGCTCTGTCGCCCAGGCTGGTGTGCAGTGGCACAGTTGCGGCTCACTGCTGCTTCAAGCACCAGTACTCAAGTGATCCTCCCACCTCAGCCTCCTGAGTAGCTAGGACCACAGGTGCCTGCCACCACACTCAGCTAATTATTTTTTTAACTGTCTTGTAGAGACGAGATCTCACTATGCTGCCGGGGCTGGTCTCAAAGTCTGGGCTCAATCTGTGTTCCCACCTCAGCCTCCCAAAGTGCTGGGATTACCAGTGTGAGCCACCGCACCCAGTCCTCTCAGCCCTCTCAACCTCCCAAAGTGCTGGGATTACCGGCGTGAGCCACTGCACCCAGCCTCGTCATGGTTTTGATTTATTTGCCTTTGCCTAATAATTAATGATGAACACATATGCATGGTCTTGAAACCACCTTTCCAAAATGATGACTGAGACAGTGTTAGATCTAACTTGACCGACTCCGGCTTGCTCCTAACCTCCAAGCTGCCCTTGTTCATTCCTGGGCATAGGCTGAACTAACTTTAGGAGAAACTTAGTTTATAGTTTATAGTTTAAACAAAGACGGTAACAGCCCTTTCCCAAAGCAGACCTCCTTCTTCCCCGGGGACTCGTCTGCCTTTGCAGGACTAACTTTAGCCCCAAGATTAGAAATTATGGTTTAGGAGTCATGCAGCTGGAGGCCAGAAGATTCTGACCCTCCTTAAACTGCTCCTAAGATCAGCGCTTGAGATATTTTGGAAACCCTGCACTTCATGAGTCAGCTGACACCACCCACATCAATAAACTGGCTCATCTGATCTTGCGGACCCCACCCAGGAACGATTGAGCTCAAGAAGACAGCTTTGACGCCCTGTGATTTCACCTCTGACCAATCAGCACTCCTGGCTCACTGGCTTCCCCCACCCACCAAGTTATCCTTAAAAACTCTGTTCCCATTGGCCGGGCGCGGTGGCTCACGCCTGTGATCCCAGCACTTTGGGAGGCTGAGGCAGACGGATCACGAGGTCAGGAGATCGAGACCATCCTGGCTAACACAGTAAAATCTGCTCTCTACTAAAAATACAAAAAAATTAGCCAGACATGGTGGTGGACGCCTGTAGTCCCAGCTATTCGGGAGGCTGAGGCAGGAGAATCGCTTGAACCAGGGTGGCAGAGCTTGCAGTGAGACGAGATAGTGCCACTGCACTCCAGCCTGGGCAACAGAGCGAGAGTCCGTCTCAAAAAAAAACAAAAACAAAAACAAAAAAAACTCTACTCCCCAGTGCTCAGACTGACTAGAGTAATAATAGAACTCCAGTCACCCGCACAGCCGGCTCTGCGTGAATTACTCTTTCTCTATTGCGATCCCCTGTCTTGATGAAGCCTCCCTGTCTGGGCGGTGGGCAGGGTGAACCCCTTGGGCAGTTACATTCCCACTGGGCATCTATATATTTTCTTTAGAAAACTGTCTATTCAAATTCCTAACCCAATTTTTAGTTGCACTGTTTGCCTTTCTATTGTTGAGTTGTAAGAGTTTTCATATATTCTAGCTATTGGACCTTTTTTTTTTTTTTTGAGACAGAGTCTTGCTCTGTTGGCCAGGCTGGAGTGCAGTGGCACAATCTCGGCTCACTGCAGCCTCTGTCTCCTGGGTTCAAGCAATTCTCCTGCCTCAGCCTCCCAAGTAGCTGGGACTACAGGTGTGCGCCACCACACTCGGCTAATTTTTGTATTTTTAGTAGGGATGGAGTTTCACCATGTTTGTCAGGCTGGTCTCGAACCCCTGACCTCGTGATCTGCCCACCTTGGCCTCCCAAAGTGCTGGGATTACAGGCGTGAGCTACTGTGCCTGGTTTTTGTTGTTGTTCTTTGAGATGGAGTCTCGCTCTGTCGCCCAGGCTGGAGTGCAATGGCTCAGTCTTGGCTCACTGAAACCTCCGCCTCCTGGGTTCAAGTGATTCTCTTGCCTCAGCCTCCTGAGTAGCTGGGATTACAGGCATGTGCCACCACACCTGGCTAATTTTTTGTATTTTTAGTAGAGACAGAGTTTCACCATTTTGGCCAGGCTGGTCTTGAACTCCTGACCTCGTGATCCACCTGCCTCAGCCTCCCAAAGTGCTGGGATTACAGGCGTGAGCCGCTGCGCCTGGCCCTCCTACCTTTTTTTCTGTTTTATTTATGTCTTTCACAGCATTGCTGTTTTTGAGGATTCCAGGCCAGTCGTCATGGAGAGTGTCCTGCGTAATCTGGACCCATCTGATGTTTCCCAGTAATTTGATCCAGGTTGAGCGTTTTGCCAGGTGCTGGTGTGTGCTTCACGTGGCATTGTATCATGACGTTTTCTAATTACTGCAGAATGGGGTCTGTTTCCTCATCACGCTGCCAGGGCTCTGCCAATTCCACGCCTCTCTTTCTAGAAACAAGCAAGCAAAGGTCTCATGTGCAACTTCTGTTTTCCACATTTTCTAAATTACAAAAGCAATAAGGGCTTGTGAAAGAAAACTGGAAGAATCCAGAATTATATAAGATAAAAAATGAACATCTCGGCCGGGGTGACAGAGCGAGACTCCATCTCAAAAAAAAAAAAAAAAAATGAACATCTCTCTCGATTCTGGCACCTCTCCCTGGGGGAACTAGGTCCACTTTGGTAGTTCTCCAACTGGAACTTAAAGAGAGAGACAGAGAGAGAGAGAGAGAGACTGACAGAGAGACTTGCTTTGGCTAATTTTTTATTTTTTGTAGAGACAAGGTCTTGCTATGTTGCCCAGGCTGGTGTCGAACCCCTTGCTTCAAGTGATCCTCCTGCTTCAGCATCCCAAAGTGCTGGGATTATAAGTGTGAGCCACCATGCCCAGCCCCCAATTTATTTATTTTGAGACAGTTTCAATCTGTCGCCCAGGCTGGAGTACAGTGGCTCACTCACTGCTCACTGCAGCCTCAACCTCCTGGGTTCAAGGGACCCTCCCACCTCAGCCTCCCTAGTAGCTGGGACTTCAGATGTGCAACACCGAGCCTGGCTAATTTTTTTTGCTAGTTTTTGTTTTTTGGTTTTTTTTTGGTAGTTTGGTTTTCTGGTTTGTTTCACCATGTTGCCCAGGCTGGTCTCTAACTCCTGGGCTCAAATGATCCACCCTACTTGGCCTCCCAAAGTGCTGGGATTACAGGTATGAGCCATTGCACCTGGCTTATTTTCTTCTTTTTTTTTTTTTTTTTTTTTTGAGACAGTCTCGCCCTGTCGCCCAGGCTGGAGTGCAGTGGCGCCATCTCGGCTCACTGCAAGCACCGCCTCCCGCGTTCACGCCATTCTCCTGCCTCAGCCTCCCGAGTAGCTGGGACTACAGGCACCTGCCACCGCGCCCGGCTAATTTTTTGTATTTTGTTTAGTAGAGACGGGGTTTCACCGAGTTAGCCAGGATGGTCTCCATCTCCTGACCTTGTGATCCACCCGCCTCGGCCTCCCAAAGTGCTGGGATTACAGATGTGAGCCACCGCGCCCGGCCTCTTCTTTTTTTTTTTTGAGACGGAGTCTTGCTCTGTTGCCCAGGCCGAAGTGCAGTGGCGCAGTCTTGGCCAACATGGTGAAACCCCATCTCTACTAAAACTATAAAAATTAGCAGGGCCCAGTGGCAGGAACCTGTAATCCCAGCTACTCAGGAGGCTGAGACAAGAGAATCGCTTGAACCCTGGAGGCAGAGGTTGCACCACCGTGCCCGGCTAATTTTTTGAATTTTTAGTACAGACAGGGTTTCACCTTGTTAGCCAGGATGGTCTCGTTCTATTTTAAACCAATCACTGCTGCCAGGGGCACTGCCGTAAGCCAACTAGCATCTATCCCTGGAGCTGAGGGCGCAGGTTAATTGCACCTAAACCACATGGCTGAGAACCTGGGAAGCGTTAATTTCCCCATGAGAAATCAGAGCCTTGTTGGCAAGAAAAAAGGAGCAGGCAAACAAAAATGTCTGTTCTGGGTTGACGTAAGGACCCTCACAGAACTCTCTGCGGGCGTGGTGGCTCATGCCTATAATCCCAGCGCTATGGCAGGCCGAGGCAGGAGGATTGCTTGAGCCCAGGAGTTCCAGACCAGCACCTGTAGTGCCAGCTCCTCAGAAGGCTAAGGCAGGAGGATCATTTGAGCCCAGGAGTTTGAGGCTTTTTTTTTTTTTTTAGACGGAGTTTCGCTCTTGTTGCCCAGGCTGGAGTGCAACGGTGCGATCTCAGCTCACTGCAACCTCCGCCTCCCAGGTTCAAGCAATTCTCCTGCCTCAGTCTCCTAAGTAGCTGGGCATGTGCCACCATGCCCAGCTAAATACTAACTGCCCTTGAGGCATGGTGTCAATGTACCCCCCCACCAACAATGTCTGAGAGTGCTTGTTTTCTTATGCCCTGGCCCATGCAGTGTGATATCAAATTTTGGAATTTTACTAGTATAACACATGAAAATGATATATCAATATAGTTTTAATTTGCATTTATCTTATTATGACTGGCTTAAGAATGTTTTCATAATAAGAGCCATTTCTCTTTTTTCTGTGGAAATCTTTTTTTTTTTTTTTTTTCTCCCAAGATGCAGTCTCGCTCTGTCGCCCAGGCTGGAGTGCAATGGCACCATCTCGGCTCACTGCAACCTCTGTCTCCCAGGTTCAAGCGATTCTACTGCCTCAGTCTCCCGAGTAGCTGTGATTACAGACGCCCACCACCACACCTGGCTAATTTTTGTATTTTTAGTAGAGACCGGGTTTTGCCATGTTGGCCAGGCTGGTCTCAAACTCCTGACCTCAAGTGATCCACCCGCCTCGGCCTCCCAAAGTGCTGGGATGAAAGGGTAAGCCACCGCACCCGGCCCATCTATTTAAGTCTTTTGCCCATTTTCCTCTTGGGCTGTTAATCTTTTTCTTATCCATTTGTAGGAATTCTTTAAATACCAGAGAACTTAGCTCTTTGCCTGTGATATGAGTTGAAAATATTTTTCCAAACTTGTCGTTTATCATTTGACTTTGCTTATTGCATTAGTCCATTTTGTGCTGCTGTAACAATACCTGAGACTGGGACATGTATAACTAACAGAAATGCACAGTTCTGGAAAGCAAAAAGCAGCGACGGGCCTAGTGCCAGGTGAGGGCCTGATCTCTGCTTCCAAGACAGAGCCTTGTAAGTTCATCATCCAGGGAGAGGGAGCGTGTTACTCACACGGCAGAGGGCGGAGAGGCAAGCAGCAACAGGGCCCCAGACGTACCCTTTTATACAATGATGGCATTAATCCACTACAGATGAGGGCAAAGCCCTTTTATAAGATATAGCGTTAAGCCTACACACAAGGGTGAAGCCCTCCTGGCCTAATCACCTCTTAAAAGTCCTACCTCCGAACACTGTTGAACACTGTTACAGGCCGGGTGCGGTGGCTCACACCTGTAATCCCAGCACTTTGGGAGGCCGAGGTGGGCGGATCACCTGACGCCAGGAGTTCAAGACTAGCCTGACCAATACAGTGAAACCCCATCTCTACTAAAAATACAAAAATTAGCCAGACGTGGTGGCGCACGCCTGTCATCCCAGCTACTCAGGAGGCTGAGGCAGGAGAATCACTTGAACCCAGGAGGTGGAGGTTGCAGTGAGCTGAGATCGTGCTATCGGACTTCAGCCTGGGCAACAGAGTGAGACTCCTCAAAAAAAAAAAAAAAACTGTTACAATGGCAATTAAATTTCAACATGAGTTGTGGAGGGAATAAACAATCAAACCATGGAACTTTACAATTTCCCTGCAGACTTTTTTATTTAGCCAAATTTACTGATTTCTTTTTGGTGGATTTTTGATATTGTGATATGGTAAGAAAGGCCTTACTCTGCACTCATAAAATCATGTTTTTATATTTTCTTTTTGTTTTTTTGCATTTTAATCTTTGATCCAATTGGAATTTCTGCTCATATGCAGTAAGTATGGCTCTAACTTTGTTTTTTGATACAGCTGTTTCAATACTACATATTAAGAAAGTAAACTAGGCAGGGTGTGGTGGCTCACACCTGTAAGCCCAGCATTCTGGGAGGCCAAGACAGGAGGACTTCCTGAGCCCAAGAATTCAAGACCAGCCTGGGCAACCCAGCGACATCTCAGTTTCTAATAAAATGAAAAATGATCTGGGCATGGTGCTGCACGCCTGTAGTCCCAGCTACTCAGGAGGTTGAAGTGGGAGGATCGCTTGGGCCTAGGATGTCGAAGCTGCAGTGAGCTGTGATCATGCCACTGCACTCCAGCCTGGGTGACAGCGTAAAACCCTATCTCAAAAAAAAAAAAAAAAAAAAAAGCCAGGCACAGTGGCTCACATTTGTAATCCCAGCCCTTTGGGAGGCCGAGGCGGGTGGATCACCTGAGGTCAGGAGCTCGAGACCAGCCTGGACAACATGGTGAAACTCCGTCTCTATTAAAAATACAAAAATCAGCCAAGCATGGTGGCTCACGCCTGTAATCCCAGCTACTTGGGAGGCTGAGGCAGGAGAATCTCTTGAACTCTGGAGGCGGAGGCTGTGGTGAGCCGAGATCATTTCTCCACTGCCCTCTAGCCTGGGCGATGGAGTGAGACTGTCTCAAAAAAAAAGGACATCTTAGACCTTCATCAAATATTTCTGGAGAAAGTGATTCCGAGTGCTTTGCTCATCAGTCTTCATTTCTTTTTTTTTTTTTTTTTTACCTTTTTTTCCCCCTAAGATTTTTTATTTTATTTTATTTTATTTTTTGTATTTTTTTTTTCAATTTCTTTTTTTTTTTTTTAATTGATCATTCTTGGGTGTTTCTCGCAGAGGGGGATTTGGCAGGGTCATAGGACACTAGTGGAGGGAAGGTCAGCAGATAAACATGTGAACAAAGGTCTCTGGTTTTCCTAGGCAGAGGACCCTGAGGCCTTCCGCAGTGTTTGTGTCCCTGGGTACTTGAGATTAGGGAGTGGTGATGACTCTTAACGAGCATGCTGCCTTCAAGCATCTGTTTAACAAAGCACATCTTGCACCGCCCTTAATCCATTTAACCCTGAGTGGACACAGCACATGTTTCAGAGAGCACAGGGTTGGGGGTAAGGTCACAGATCAACAGGATCCCAAGGCAGAAGAAGTTTTCTTAGTACAGAACAAAATGAAAAGTCTCCCGTGTCTACCTCTTTCTACACAGACACGGCAACCATCCGATTTCTCAATCTTTTCCCCACCTTTCCCGCCTTTCTATTCCACAAAACTGCCACTGTCATCATGGCCCGTTCTCAATGAGCCGCTGGGCACACCTCCCAGACGGGGTGGTGGCCGGGCAGAGGGGCTCCTCACTTCCCAGTAGGGGCGGCCGGGCAGAGGCGCCCCTCACTTCCCGGATGGGGGGGCTGGCCGGGCGGGGGGGCTGACCCCCCACCTCCCTCCCGGATGGGGCGGCTGGCCGGGCAGAGGGGCTCCTCACTTCCCAGTAGGGGCGGCCAGGCAGAGGCGCCCCTCACCTCCCGGATGGGGTGGCTGCCGGGCGGAGACGCTCCTCACATCCCAGACGGGGTGGCGGGGCAGAGGCGCCCCCACATCTCAGACAATGGGTGGCCGGGCAGAGACGCTCCTCACTTCCTAGATGGGATGGCGGCCGGGCAGAGACGTTCCTCACTTTCCAGACTGGGCAGCCAGGCAGAGGGGCTCCTCACATCCCAGATGATGGGCGGCCAGGCAGAGATGCTCCTCACATCCCAGACGGGGTGGCGGCCGGGCAGAGGCTGCAATCTCGGCACTTTGGGAGGCCAAGGCAGGCGGCTGGGAGGTGGAGGTTGTAGCGGGCCGAGATCACGCTACTGCACTCCAGCCTGGGCACCATTGAGCACTGAGTGAACGAGACTCCGTCCGCAATCCCGGCACCTCGGGAAGCCGAGGCTGGCGGATCATTCGCGGCTAGGAGCTGGAGACCAGCCCCGCCAACACAGCGAAACCCCGTCTCCACCAAAAAAATACGAAAACCAGTCAGGCGTGGCGGCGCGCGCCTGCAATCGCAGGCACTCGGCAGGCTGAGGCAGGAGAATCAGGCAGGGAGGTTGCAGTGAGCCCAGACGGCAGCAGTACAGTCCAGCTTCGGTTCGGCATCAGAGGGAGACCGTGGAAAGAGAGGGAGAGGGAGACCGTGGGGAGAGGGAGAGGGAGAAAGAGGGAGAGGGAGAGGGAGAGGGCTATTTTTTGTATTTTTAGTAGAGACGGGGTTTCACCATGTTAGCCAGGATGGTCTCGATCTCCCGACCTCGTGATCCATCCGCCTCCACCTCCCAAAGTGCTGGGATTACAGGCGTGAGCCACCGCGCCCAGCCCATCAATCTTCATTTCTAACATCTCCAGTAACTGATCCTTATCCTGTTAACTCTTTGAGGCTTTGGATAGTGTTTTTGTTATTCTGTCCAGTATTTAAATTTCTCTTCAAGGAAAGAATTGTCCTAAATTATCTAATCCGCTAGTACCAGAAGAGGAATTTCTGGGTTATTGTGGTAAAGTTTCATGTGATGAACCATCCTTGAATTCTCTCAGAATAAACACCACATGGTCATAACATGTTAATTTTATTATTTTTTTGTGTGTGTGAGACGGAGTTTCACTCTTGTTGCCCAGGCTGGAGTGCAATGGTGCAATCTCAGCTCACTACAGCCTCCACCTCCTGGGTTCAAGTGATTCTCCTGCTTCAGCCTCCCAAGTAGCTGGGATTACAGGCTTACGCTAATTTTTTGTATTTTTAGTAGAGATGGAGTTTCATCATGTTGGCCAGGCTGGTCCCTAACTCCTGACCTCAGATGATCCACCCGCCTCGGCCTCCCAAAGTGCTGGGATTACAGGTGTGAGCCACCACGCCCAGCCATGATATGTTAACTTAAATATGCAGGCCAGGGGTGGCGGCACACTCCCCTAGTCCCAGCTA